>NC_000006.12:156131396-156282911 GCF_000001405.40 Homo sapiens | reverse complement strand
CCTTTTCATAGAGAAAAAACAATGAACCTTTAAGGGAAGTTCTTAGATATTCTTCTATTCATCTTTCAAGGTTATAAGCATGTGAAAGGCTTTCTTATGCCTCTAAAGACTTTGGCAGTGTTACTGACTTGACCTAGAGGAGAGGACAAACTTGAAAGAGTAAGAAAAATTCCCCTGAGGGTGTGTATACTATTCATAAATCCTTTTTTCTTTCCCTGGCCCAAATATCCTTATATTTACTACATTTTTTAAAGAGTCATGTCATTCCACAAAAAGTACAAAATCCTATTTCAAGGCATAGACAGTAGTAGAGTTGGTGTTGGAATTTAGTTAAGAAAAAAATAACTCTAAATGTTTATAACTAAAATTTACCATGCTAATGGTATTCTCCAGTCCAACATGCTTGCAACATGTTGAATCATTCAGGGAAGAAATAGCGTTTATTTCTATCTCTCTCACTGAGCCATTGCATCCAATCTGAAATTTGACAGTTATCTGAGTGGGCAGCAGAAAAAGGGAAGGCTGAGTGTATAATGCAGAAAATAGTGTCTTGTACAGTATCATCAGAATGAGTTGCTGATGCAGTGTAGCCAGTTACATGCAAACAGGTTAAATACTGCCAGTCAGCACATTCCTAGCACCCCTAGCAGCTTTGGGCAGAGCAGGGAGCAAGATGTTGCTGAGTGTTTGAAAATGTTTCTTCTTCTTAGACTATGAAAGAAGCTCTGTCCCTTCACTGGATGCTTGACTTCATTTAGGAAGAGTGTTAAGACCTTTCTCATAATCTATGAATCCTATGCTAATGGATGAATGCAAATATTGTTATCACCTTCCATTGACAGAGGACTACATTGTTACAATGGAGAAAAGTGTTAATCCTTTTGTAATTAATGCATTATTGAGGTCAGCACATGTCAAGGATGTAGTTGGATTTTGGTAAATTAACTTTGAAGTCCTTTTCTTAATTCTCATTTTTCCTTTATCTTAAAAAGTAACCATTGCATATAACTTTGTACTTTTTCTTTTACCAATGATATAAGACTTAGTTTTTATGTTGAAATGAAACCAAACCAGACAAAAGGTGAATAGGAAGGGCACATGGCTCTTACTATCCTACTCTCTTAACTCAACACAAAGGAAAATTCAGCATAGAGAAATTACTTTGACCTTGTAGTAAAGAATAACCATTGGTTAAATGACTTCTAGGTTTCATTCCTGGAAAGTAACTAGTTCTTATTAAATTGTATCTATTATGATTACTATTAATATCATTTTGACATACATATATAAGAAGATGGCCAGACATTTCACGTACTGAAGCAGAAGTGCGAACAATCACTATGTCTTAAGTTCAGCAGGGCTAGAGTGATGGGATGGAGTGTTCAGGAGTGATTTCCTGAAAGAGGTGGGTTTCAGTCAGTGCTTTCCTGAGTGGTTTCTTAAAAAAAAAAAAAGCCCCTAGTTTGTTATGATTCACACGGTCCTGGGGTCAAATATGTTTAGCTACCACAAGCCAGAAAGATTCAAAAGGTTTCTTCACTGTGTGACTTCTCAGAGCCTTCTGTGACAATTACATAATAACTCTCCAAAAGGAAGAGTCCATATGTGGTGATTCCAAAGCATATTTGATCTTTTTTTGTTCGTCCATGGAGCTCCCATGGCTGGAGTGGTGGAGCAAACTCTGGGAAAAGTGAGGTAAGATCCTGCCTTGAAGGATGGGTGGGAGGCCTCATGTAGTCGATGGAAATGGGGCAAGAGTTGTGTATTATAAGCAGAGGCTTTGGAAGGAGCAAACGCAGAAGTGTGGTGAGCCATGGGAGACCAGCTAAAGGGGTGGTCTGGGGACAAACTGGGAGGAAAGGATGATTTTGAAGAAACAGGAAATGAATGGAGGTGGTTGGATTTTTTGTAGTTGTTGTCTTGACAGCATTTTTTAAAAGACAGATTAATCTGTCAACATGGTCCAGAGTGGTCTGGATAGGCAGAGCCTGTAGGCAGGAAAACTCATCAGGAGTCTTTTGTGTTTGTCCAAGCATGGTGTTACCAGGTCCTCCCCAACCTTGTTTCTCTATTACGATCTCTCAGCCGATGATTGTGTGGTCCCTGCTGTGCTTGGGCTCCATGTTGTCAAGTGTGCAGCGTCATCCCGAGGACCCGGCATTTGTACCAGGTCTCCAAGGCAACACCTTTCTTAACGTCTGGATGTGCCTCATAACACTTCTGTTTGTCTGTCTTTGGCTCTACATTGTTTCTTTTTATTTTATTTTATTTATTTTTTTAATTTTACTTTAAGTTCCGGGATACATGTGCAGAGTGTTCAGGTTTGTTACATAACTATACATGTGCCATAGTGGTTTGCTGTACCTATCAAGCCATCATCTAGGTTTTAAGCCCCGCATACATTAGATATTTGTCCTAATGCTCTCCCTCCCCTTACCCTCCACACTGTTTCTTAAAAGAACATGTTATTATAACCTGGAGACATTCACTGTTAAGTGCAGCTTCCTTCATGGTTGGCTGATCTAAAACCTGCACAGACCCCAGCCCTTTATGGTGCGTTTCATGTTTGCATGTCTGTCATCTGAAATGCCTCGTAGACTATGTTGGCAACTAGCCAAGCTGAGCATTAAAAAGGGGATGGCCTACCAGCCATCATAGCCTTTCCCCTTTGAGTTATCGAGGAAACAAAACCAGAGTTGTTTCAGTATGAACGACAGTTAAAAAGATAACTAAGGAAAGTGCTGGTCAATCACAGTTTACAGTTGGTGCAGAGCCCAGCTTGGAAGGACTCAAGGACAGAGTCCTGATCTCCATGGGAGGAACAATTGTGCTTTTGTGGAATCTTCTCTCTGTTCTTGATGCTTCTTTCTTCTCTGCATTCTTATATTATGGGGATTAGGAAGTCCAGCCTGGTGAATAATGCTGTATAATCTCCCTGTCTTCTCCCTTACCTCTTAATTCATTTTGACCTTGACTTGGAAGATATCCTTCTACCATGCAGGAATTGTCAGCCACAGTTTTACACTCTTTGATCACTTCGCTATTTGGAGTGTGAGTTGTTTTTTAAAAAATATACAAAGAATAACTTCTTTATGTTTTTTTGTTTTCCTTTTTTTTTTTTTTTTTGCTTAACATGTGAGAGGTGAAATAAAGGAGCTCCTGATAAGTATAGAGATTAGGAAACAAGACAAAACAAAGCAACAACAAAGTCTACACACCTCATAGCCAACAGCTGCCCAATTAATGTCATGTGCATTTACAGCAGAAGTGGTCAGTGACAGCACAGTGGAAGGCAGTTCAGGTCACAAATGCAGAACAGGAAATATATTTTCATCTTGTTATTTATGACCCAGCCTTAAAGGAAAACAGATGGTACTACTTTCAGAGCTGTTTTGCTCTTGTTTCAAATGGCTAATTCAAATCAAACACAGATTCTATTCTTAGTCAAGGCAGCTGCTGCATTGTCTGAGCTGGGCTGTTTTTTTACCAACAACACCCCTTCCTCTGACAGAATGGCCAGAGAAGACCACAGCAACATCACTGTCACTATCACCCAGTAGTCCTAAGAGAACCGCATTTGTCGGCAGCAGCACAAAGCCTATTGCTGGCTGACACCATTTAGGATAAACTGTGGTTGGATTTTGAGTAGAATCTGGAACCACCACTCCCTTCCCTCTTGCATTTGATTATTTCCCTTTGAAAGCAATGATTTATTCCAATTTTAGAGTACAGTGACCTTTCAGGGACCCTTAGGGTGGCGAAGATTGCAAAGATGGGAAGAGAAGTCAAAAGGGGCTAAGAGAGGAAATGGAATGTGAGAGATGTTCTCATAACACAGAGAAGACAGCAGACACTACTTAGGTTCTCTCTCCCAGGATAGCCATATTGTCCTGCTGATTTTCTTTAGTCAAAGGCTCTATTTATGAGACTCACTAATAAGACTTTAAAGAGTAACTTCTTGCATTTTTAAAAATCAATATTTGAAAACAAAGTAATATATGTTCATAATTCAACAACAACAACACTTTCCATCTATTCATTTCTCCACTCTACGTGGAGTCCCTGGGTTTAGCCCTCCCACTGGACACCCACTCCCTACCCTTCTATGCCCAGAAGCAATCACTTCAAATTTTTCTAGCTGTTAACTTCAGGTGGTGACCTCCATATTTCTAAGAAATGTGCTTATAGTGTTGAGTATTTAGTTTGAGTCAATATCTCTTACATTTCTTTAATGGTAGTTGAGGATTTAGCTTGTCTACAACTCTTCCCGTGACTAACTCATTCATTCAATTGAATTATATTTTCAGTTAATTATCTGACAGTTTTTATGTTTTTATGAGTAGGTAAATTATTTTTATTGTCAAGCCATGTCATGTATTATTAGATTTCATTTCTTGTACAACTTTTTGTTTTTCCTGAAGTTAATAATTATACAATTTTTTATTTGCTTATTTTTATGTATGTCTTTAAACTTTTTTTGAGATCAAAACTTGTCAAATGCTTTGTAAAGTCTTTCAAATAATCAAACACATCTAAGTATCTGTTTGCACTCTCCCTCCCTCTTTTCACTCTTCTTTCTCCTGAAAGCCTCCTAACCCTTGTTTCTCTTTCCACCTACTCTGATCTGTTTGTTGGCTAAGTCTTTTGAATAAGGCTTACTCTAGAACTTTCCATTACTTTTCCTGTGTTGGCTCACTTTCTAAGATTCCATGTCCTGTGATAGGATCTTAAACACAAATATGAGGGAATTCAAGTTTTTGATCCCTTTTATTCCTGAAACTCATGTTTATTTACCCTCACATTATACAAACATAGTTCAATATGGTAGAGAAAATGAGAAACAAAGTGTATTAGTCCATTTTCATGCTGCTGATAGAGACATACCTGAGACTGGGAAGAAAAAGAGGTTTAATGGACTTACAGTTCCACATGCTGGGGAGGCCTCACAATCATGGCGGAAAGCAAGGAGGAGCAAGTCACATCTTACATGGATGGCAGCAGGCAAAGAGAAAGCTTGTGCAGGGAAACTCCTGTTTTTAAAACCATCAGATTTCAGGAGACTCATTCACTATCATGAGAACAGCACAGGGAAGAACCACCCCCATAATTCAATCACCTCCCACCAGATCCCTCCCACAACATGCGGGAATTGTGGGAGCTACAATTCAAGATGAGATTTGAGTGGGGACACAGATGAATGATATCACCAAGATTGGTGAACTTTGAGACACATTCTACCAATGGAAACTCTTCAAAATGAAATATATGCCTAAATGTAGAACTCAAAACTGTAACAATTCTGGAGGAAAACAGGTGGAAATCTTTGTGATCTTGAGTTAGTCAAAGATTTCTTTGATATATCACTAAAGCTTGATCCATTAAAAATTGATTCATAAACTAAACTTCATCAAAATAAAAAAATTGGCTCTTATATAAGAGTATGAAAAGAGAATCCAAAGACTGGGAGCAAATATTTGCAAAACACATACCTGATAAAGAACCTCTAAGCAGACTACATAAAGAATTCTAAAACCTCAACAGTAAGAAAATAACTCATTTAAACAATTGGCTGAAGATAGGAACAATTTTTCAAACAAGATATGCAGATGACAAATAAGCACATGGAAAAGATGTTCAACATCAATTAGCCAGTAGAGAAATGCAAAGAAAAGCCACAGTAAGCCACAGTGAGGTACTGCTTCGTACCTGTTAGAATGAAAAATTAAATGGACTGACTACATCAAGTATTACCAAAGATGTAGAGGAACTGGAGATCTCATATACTGCTAGGTGGAAAGTAAGATGTTACAATCTCTTTGGAAAGCAGTGTGGTAGTTTTTAAAAAAATTAAACTTGGACCTATTATATGGTCCAACCGTTCCACTACTAAGTATTTACCCAAGAGGAAAGAAAACTTATATCTATACAAAGGCACATCCATGAATGTTCTTAGCAGTCTTGTTAAATAATAGCCAAATCCTAGAAACAGCACAAATGTCTATCAACAGATAATCAAACTATGGTATATCCATACAACATAATGCCACTCAAAGGTAGAAAGGAACAAAATATTGCTACACCTAATAGAATGAATGAAACTCAAAATAAATAGCCTGAATGAAAGAAGGCAGACAAAAGCGATTACATACTGAAGAGTCCACTTATATAAAATTCTAGATAATAGAGACTAATCCATTGTGACAGGAAGCTAATCAGTGGTTGCCTGGGGTGGGGTAGGGGTGCTAGAAGAAGGGATTATAAAGGATTCACTCTCTTAATGTGGTGATGATTTTCAAAGCTTATCAAATTGTACATTTTAAATATGTGCAGTGTTTATATCAATTATACCTCAATAACATTTTTTAAATGAAAAAAGCATGTGGATACATCTGAAATTATGCATGTTTAATAATTACAAGAATGCTTTCAGATCACTGTTATCTATGCATCCATCAGTATCGATTCGGCCAAGTCCTGTTCCAGGTGAGCAAAACAGTCCTTAATTTCACTGGTTCTTAGTCTACTGGGAGAGAGGGATAATTGTATATATAAAATAATAATAACATGCAACACTTACTGAATCCTATGGGCTAGGCATTTGTAACAATGTATCTTCTATGCATAACTCACATTTTACTGATGCCTTTCACATTTTGGAACTGTGGTGCCAAAGGATAAGTTCCTTGCCCAGGATTGGGCAGCATGTGGCAGAGTTGAGATCCAAACCCTGGCAGGGTGGCTGCAGAGGTCGTGTTCCTACCCACCTCACTGTTCTTCCTTCACGATGACAAACTGAGAAGTGCGGTGAAGCAACATTGCACACTGCTCCAGTGATGTGTCCCAGGAGGGCTCCACCTCAGTTGTGGCGTGGGGAGTGGGAAAGGGTGCCCAGGGAAGCCTTGCTTGAGTTGAGATTAGGTGAGAGAGGATAAATGCCTTTCAGGCACTGGGTGTGTAGGTCTTGTGTCTTTGACCAAATAGCCTTTTCTAGTCATTCTCTCCATTTTTCTCCCTGTGTCTCTTTCATTGTCTTTCTCTAAAATGAATAGAGATGGGGTCCTATGCATGCATCTTACTCTTGACAACCACAGACAACAGACCTGAGCCTCTGGCGCCTGGAGACAAACATGTCTCCTTTTCTGGTGGAGTCCCTGAAGGCTCA
Organism: Homo sapiens; assembly: GCF_000001405.40. NCBI lineage: Eukaryota > Metazoa > Chordata > Mammalia > Primates > Hominidae > Homo > Homo sapiens. Next base: position 156,275,749 of record NC_000006.12, on the reverse strand, counting down.
ATGAGAGTGGCTGGAGGGCTGTCCACATAGGCTAGCTACTTCATTTTACTTTGAAACAGCAAGGGCTTTCATCCTACCTTTTAAGATACTTTTATTAAGCCTTCTAAGGGAGTCCTGCAGCTGCTGAATGCTTTCCCAAAATTCATTTCTTTCTGTGCAGACGCTCTGTAAATGATTATGATATTGTAATGCTGTCACTCAGGGCACCGCTTGAACTTGTGCTTGTTCACATTGAGAGGGGAGATAAACTCAGATTTGCAATTGCCAAAGGCCAAAGCTGCTCCTCCCTAACTCACCAAATTGCTAACCTAAACACATTATAGAATTAAAATTTCGACTAATTGCCAATTAGCAATGGTCATAAAGAGTGTAGGGCACTGTTGTAAAGCCTGTGTAACCCTCTGATATTATAATTGTTTTAAAGGAAAAGCCAGATTAGAGATGAGGCATGACAATGTGAAGGACGTTCAGTGCTCAGCAAGTTGAGACAGACAGCCCAGGGGCCCCACTAATCTTTAAGTCCCTGAAAAGTATATTGTTAATACTACATGACAGATAAATTATATCACGAACCCCAAGAAATGCCTAGAGGGAAATAAAAAAAAAATGCCGTTAGCAGACAGACCTTTTATAATTTTCCCAGGATACTGCTATGTTTCCAGAAACTCGGCTCACAGCCTCCCTGAATCACATACTTCACATTACCAGAAATAGTTGCTGACAAATACTTCATTTAAATGCTATTGAGATAAAAGCAGGAAGGCTGTGAATAGTTAAAGGCAGAAAAGTAACATATGTGTCCATTGGTACGCTGTCCCAAATGGGTAGTACCTTATCGTTTTTTTCATTCCTCATTGTTCTGTCAGGGGATTGGAAGACATATGTCACTTTTCTACCTTAACAGGGCATTTTCTAGTTTGTTTGGATTTATGTCCCAAGCTTAATGAGATTTAAATGGAATTTTTGTATGTGAATAATGTGGAGCATTAATGCAAAAAACTTTCGTTGGCTGTGCTGCTGGCATGATTTGCATAAGGGTTTTTAAATACGAAAGAAGAACGTTGAAGTCCTTATAAATCACAGGGCATGAGCTATACTGGAGCAATAGAGGGAGCAGATCAGATTATCTAAGTAACTATAGTTTCTGAAAAAAGGTTACATCTTCAGATTTATGAATGTTGGCTTTGTAGGAGAATAGCGAAGGCGTGTTGGCCTAGATGTGAGACGAGGCTTGGTAGGGCCTCAGCACCCCCACGATGGGCCTTCTAGGGCTTTGTCCACATCCAGACTGCCTCATACACTTTGACCAGATAATTCTGGACTCCTGTGTCACACTGTGCTATGTAGACAAGTTTCTTAGGGAGAGCACCCAAGGAAGAAACAGACGGTGGGTGTATTAGTCAGGTTTCTCTAGAGGGACAGAACTAATTAGATATCTATATCTATATCCATATCTATATCTATATATCTATATTGATATCTATAAATCTATAGATATATCTCTATTTATCTATCTAAACAGGAGTTTATTAAGGAGTATTAAACTCACAGGATCATCAGATCCCACAAGTCATCTGCCAGCTGAGGAGCAAGGAAGCCCATTTGAGTCCCAAAGCTGAAGAACTTGAAGTTCGATGTTTGAGGGCAGGAAGCATCCAGCATGGGAGAAAGATGTAGGCTGGGAGGCTAAGCCAGTCTAGCCTTTTCACATTTTTCTGCCTACTTTATATTCTGGCTGTGCTGGCAACTGATTAGATGGTGCCCACCCAGACTAAGGGTGGGTCTGCCTTACCCAGCCCACTGATTCAAATGTTAATCTCCTTTGGCAATACCCTTGCAGACACATCCAAAATCAATACTTTGCATCCTTCAATCCAATCAAGTTGACAATCAGTATTAACCATCACAGGGGGCCACTAACTTGGCTGTATGAGATGTGGCTCTCTCTATCTTTTCAAATAATTCAACTTGTCCAATTCTGAGAACTCTTATACTTAGAGCAGTGTGGAAAACATGCCACTGCTCCCTTGCCAGCCTCAGGACATTCTAAGGTCCCCTACCACTTTCTTGCACCACCTTGGGGCTCAGAGGATCTCTATGAGGTCCCCTTACTTGCTTTGATTCACCTCACAGTTGTCGCTACTCTGGTATTTTACGTCTCCTGAGTTCTCAGGAATAAAAGGAGGAACTTTGATCTTTGGCTTTGAAAGTCAATATTTACCTTTGTGGTCATCCTCCTTCTATGCTGTGCTACCCCTTCCCAAAGGCAGTAAGCAGGGGATTCCCCAGATGACCTGATGGGAGGGAAAGGAGGAAAGGGATAGAAATATCCTGGGGCAGGGAGAAGACAGCCTCAGAAAATCTTTGAATGTGTCCCCTGCGCAGGCTTCAGTCTGCTGCTACAGTTTAATCAAGTCAATGCAAGTCAGGGTCCAGGATGGCACGGGCAGCTTGCTGGAAATCTGTGCCCTCCCAAAGCTCTTACGGAAATGAGATTGTGATTTCAATCTTGATTGCCTGCAGAATCTCCAAAATGCAGCAGTATGAAGTCACTGTCTCCCCGGGAAGAGAGGAAGAGAGGAAGAGAGTTAAAAGTAAGGAGCCCATCAGACATTCTTACAGGTTGCCATGAAAATATCCCTATGGTGTTGTGCCAGGCTGGACCTCACTTTGCAGGCTTTAGGGAGACATGGGGTACTGCTACCTCCAAGGTGCTGTTAGCTGAGACTAGAACCCGTGTCACAGGGTATTAGAGGGAGATGAATCTGAATCAGGGTTCATGGCAGAGTTGCACTGAGACGAAAGGAAAATCAGTTACACTGAGACTATCACTATTTAAAATTTTGATATTTTGCCCATCATATTTTTTTTGCATAAATTTTGATTTTGGGTACCCTTGTAAATTTGACACCATAGGTAAACCCCTTACTCACTCCACCCTAGTCCCAGCCCTGGATCTAATCTAGCGCCTTACATTTTTAGATGAGGAAATTGAGGCACCGACAGCACAAAAGTGCTTGCCCAGCATGACATAGGTCATTAATGAGAACAGGAATTCAAGTTTATTTTCAGCCTGGTGGGCTTTCCTTCCCCCTTCCTACTTCATCATACTGCTCCTTCACTTGCTAATTTTTTAAAAACGAAGATGGAAGGAAAAATTTCCAGAAGTCTGGAGAAAGTTTCCTTCTCATCAAGTTTAAGGCCTATAGCGAGGGGTGAGGTGGGAGCAAGGTGGGGTGACAGATGTGCATGGGAGGGAAGAGCCCGGGAGCTTGAAGTGAGTTACGTGGCACGGGTCCCAGTAGAGCCTGCTTTCTCTATAGCTACAGGTTATCTCTTCTAAGGTAGGTCAAGTAGAATCTTGAAATGGCTGCTTCTTCAGACTTATAGCTATTGTAATTTAACTCCAAGTGCTCAGAGGAATGCTTTTATTTAACTTCAATAGAATATAGCTTTATTAAAGTCAAATAAGAAATAGGAAGAAAATGAACCCACAGAAAATATGCCAATGGAAATTCTTATTTGAGAAATGTCCAGATATTATATGTCTTTCATTTTAATTTATTTCTTGAGCATTGAATGAAATTTTAGGCCCAACTGAGAAGCAAAATAAGATTAGTCTGCTGAACAATAGGTAACCAGGTTAAAAAAAAAAAAAGACAGCAAAATTTGCAGAGATAAAAGTTTAATTATGTCCTAGTTGCTTGCTGAGATCTGGAAATCAATGTAGTTGTTTCAATATAATTCTTGGTGGGCTATCAAATGACATAAGGGATCTCTGTACCCCTTCTCTTAAAATATAGCCACCATAAAATAATTAACAATAATGGAGTTGACATTAGATTAATGTAGCTAACCTCAGGTTGGTAGTGGAATTGCTTTTTGAATGAAAGAGAGAAAAAAAAAATGAAGAGCAGACCTCTGTGTGAGTGAAATAGCAAGGAACGTGCCTGGAACTCAGAAGATACTTTATCCTTTGTCTCAGTGTGAAATAAAATTCTAAAATCTGCTTAAGACTTTCTTTTAGAAAAAATTTATGGAAAATATCTTAAACGAAAAAACTTGGGTGGTAGAAATGGATCGCTTTAATATATTTTACGTTGCAACTAAGATATTTAATATACCATGTTGCAAAAACTGATCAGCACATTTTCTCTTTTTAAAAGGGCTGTAGGGATGGTGGTATCATGGATTTTGAGATAGATTTGAATTCTGTTTGGGCCGCTTAGCAACTGTGTGAGTGAGCCTCAGAGTTTTCATGTGTACAGTTGTGAACACAGTAACACAAATTTGTCAATTTTACAATGTTTTTGTACAGAGTAAATGCCCAAGTTCTCTTTGTCTCTCACTCTATATATGTTAATTTTTGTTATTGTTAAATATTTATTAAAGATTAATATTTTGGTAGATTTTTAGAAGCTAAAACAATCTGCTGAGCTAATCTTTAATGGATCCAAATCATCTGCTGAGTATCACATACCTGGGTTCATGAGACTAAGAAAGATCATTTTATTTAAAAAAAAAAAAGAGAAAAAAGTCTTGGAAACTTTTTTTTAAAATTTTTTTTAAACTTTTATTTATTTGATTTATTTTTATAGAGTTGTGGGTCTCGCTTTGTTGCTCCAACTGGTCCTGGCTTCAAGTGATCCTTCTGCCTTGGCCTCCCCAAATGCTCAGATCACAGGCATGAGCCACCATGCCCAGCCCTTTCAAAATTTTCTGCCTATGCTTGGTACAGCTCATTATAGGGGTGAGACCCAATCAGTGAGCATTCTGCTTGTGAGCTGGGTCTCAGTATTGAATTTTCTTATTTAAGCCCCATGCAGATACCAATTATTTCCATTGATATTATCCTGTTATTGACTTGCAATTTAATACTTTGTTTCCTGAACATTATGAAATCACATTCTATTGTAACCATTATGGAGCCAGTTGCTTTAGCTTCAATACCCAAGAAGCTTTCTAAGGACCCCAAAACATTGTGGATGTCGTTATTGGAAATTCCTACCTCAGGTCCCTTTGCTTGGGAATACTTTGGACTTCTGGTTCCAACAAAAGTCTGAATCTGACTTTATGTCATTAGCAACTTGGTTAAATCATTTAAATGTGTATCATGTGACAAAAAAGGAAGCTTCCATGATGTAAAAAGAAAACAACAATGCCATCAAAAAACCTCAGGCTAGGGATATGGAACCAACAGATATATGGGATACCCTTAAATCATCAGTATCCGACTTGATTCATGGATCTAAGAAATATTTCTTAAGAACCAACTATAATGCCAAGCACTGTACTAGATGATAGATATAGTTGTGAGTAAAAATTAAACACATAATCCCTGCCCTCAAAGAGTGTTCAGTGTAGCAAAGAAGATAGATTTTAGTCAAATAATCACATAAATGAACAGGAAATAAAGACTTTCCTAAGTGCTGCCAGGGAGAGGTTTAAGGTGACTTAAGAATAAACAGTAGGGAAAGTTGTCTAGACACAGATGCCGACAGAGGCTCCTTAAAGAAGGCATATGTGAGCTGAGATCTGAAAGATTTGTAATTGCAAAAAGAAAGAAAGGCACAGGAAGTGGGGAGGGGCAGAAGGATTCCAGTGGAGGGCACGGCAAGCAGCGAAGCCCTGTGGCAGAGGTGGCTTGGGGGTCTTAGAGGGCTGGAGAGCAGACCGACGTGGCTGGAGCCTGCTGCAAGGTGACCATGTAGGACCAGATAGCAGCCAGATCATGCAGGTCTTGGTAGCCATATTAAGAGTTTTTGTCTTTATTCTAAGGGCAAGGAGAATCACTGAAATGGTTTAACCTGGCTTGCGTGCATGTGGGTGGGGTGGTGTGTCACTGTGTATGTGACGATCTGATTTGCAGTTGAAAAAGATGAGTGTGGTTGAAATATGAACAGAAGATTGAAGGCGAGCTTGTCAATGAGTGGAGATGCTTTAAAAGGACCTTGTAGTTGTCTAGGAAAGAGCTGATGGTGGTTGAGATTAAGGTGAGGGTGGCAGAGGTAGGGCAAGGTGGAAGGTTTTGAAAGATACTTAGGAAGTAACTCAGTAAGACTCAGTGCAATGATAGGCTGTAGCCTGGAGTTTCTTCTGATAGTTTTGAGAAAGCCCATCTTATTTGTAGTGATTTTTAATTTTCTATCTTTTCAAAATGAATTAATTTATTTGGGTGTTGATGCATACCTACAAGAGTTAAGGAGTGTGTGAGGCACTGGAGACTTTCATGAGCATTTCAGGAATGTGCCTGCCCTCATGGGCTCACAGCTGGATGGTAGGGTCACTTTCTTTGTAAGCGCACTATATTCTGATTTCTGTACAATATTTTTCTGTATGTTTCTCTCAAACTATGCCTTAGAATGCCATGGCGACAATTAGGCATTGCAACATTTGCCATCATGGATTGTGTTGAGCAGCTGAAATCTGCTTCACAAGCAGATAACCAAGGTTCATGCAGTATTTTCATTTGTGAGTTTCTGTCTTGCTCTCATACCTTCATTGGTGTTCAAATGTACTGAAACTTCCCTGTTGTCTAAAAAGTATGAGCCATCTCATCTTTTTCCTTTGAAAATGTGGTTTTGATTGCTCAAGTTCCATCTATTTCCAGTCGCACTTGCACAGGCTCTAGCAATGGTGGAGGGACTGGACGCAGCACCTTGGATGCAGTAGATTGGGAAACAGATGATACATTGAAAGGTGGAACAGGAAATCCTCACCAAACCACTTTCAGAATTTAACCTCCCACTGAGAAGTTCTGATATGTGAAGGATGGATTGTGCTGGCTGTTTGAGGGAGAAAAGCTGTCTTTCTAATAGCTGCTTCAAAACATTTCCCCTTTGACTGCTATGGAGTCTTCGTTTTTAAAACCAGAAGAAAGCTAAAAGTAGAGAGGAATATAAAATGAAGAACAAAAGGTATTTTCTTAAGCTGGTTGCTAAGCACAGTGGGCATTGTAATACTTGTCTGTCTCCTTATTACCTTTTGCATCTTATGATCTTTATTTCTATTTAGTAGAATAAAAAGTTAGACCTCAAATTTATCTCTATTGGATGCAGAATGATTTTCTCACACTACCCTTTCATCTGATCTCTTTTATATAGATAGACACATTTAATTCTTATTTATTCTGATCTTTAAAATCTTAATTTTGAAAAAATGCCACTGCTGTGGGGTTGACTTCTCTGGGTTCGTGTGCAGAAAAATTCTTTCTGCCTTTGATGCCTTCTATTTCTTCCACTTCATCTCTCACTGCTAGTGATTCTGAGTCACATGGTGATTGTTAAAATTCTAGATACCAAGGTCCCAGACATTCTGATTCATTTGACTGAAGATTAGGCTGAGGAATCTGATTTGTGTATAATATCCCAGGTTACTCTCTTTTAGGGTATCTTTGGACCCCTCTTTGGGAAACATTGCTCTAACTAAAGGAGCATCTTTTCAATAAGGGAAGTCTGTATATATAGCAAACCTACACCCTAGTTTTAAAAGTTCCTCAGAAATGCATCACTGGGGCAGTGCGTTGTGTGCAAATGTGTGCTCCCTCTCTTTCCCCACGTACTCCTTCATCTACAATATATCCAGGTTGAAATGCCATTCTTTTTTTTCAAACACTCTTATCAAAAAAGTTTTCTCTTTCTGTCTCTGTGTACCCTATTATAAGACAAAATATATAAATCTCAATATTCACTTAATAACTTAAAAATATGAGAACGTTAAATCCAGAATTGTCTTCAGATCGCTCAGCCTGTTACTAATTTTTGTGCCGTCAGTGATGTAGAGTCCCCATTGTTATCTTTTCTGTTTGAGAGATCTGTCACAGAACTGTCACATCCCAGCCTTGCATTTTGCCAAACTTTCTTTAAAAATATGTTAAGTGGATGAACATCTCTAAGACAAATTTAGACTGTGAGAATGTAATATCCTAAGCCATCATCCGGTATGAATTTAAGTCCCACTGACCACCATGCAGTGGTAATCAGTTTTGTACAATGATCACTTGCATGCAAAGACCAAAGTAATCATCATTTCCTTTTGGAATGTGCTACAGGGCCTCACTCTTGCAAGACACCTGAGACTCTCAGATGATGCAAAATGAAGGTGCCATTTGCAACAGCACAGGAATACTTTCTCTATTCTTGCTATTGTTACCTATGAGAGTTAATTGTTTCCAGGTGCATCTTGAAGCACTGATTAAAACAGCCCCATATGGGTTGTAATTGATTAACTGGAATGGCATCTTCAACCTCTGTATCCTGTGAGCAGTTGGAATAAACTGGCATGCTTCACCCACTCACACATGCTGTGGTTTTGGAAGGCTTTTAAAAGGAAGATTTTCTAAAATGATTTTCTAAGATACAGCACCAAATAGTCGGGTAAGATGGGATGACATGAATAAAGTGATCGTCTTAGAAGTAATCCAGAAAAAAAGAGTTTCTTGTGGGGAGGTGGGGGAGGGTCCTTGGATGTGTTGCAGGTGAGTTGTTGGATCATTATTTGTTTTGGATCATCTTGGTGATGATGAGATTTGGAATATTTGTGTGGAATTTGAAAAATGGAACTATAACCCATTCATGAGTATTTCCATGTTATTACTATAGGAGAGTATATTTGTCAGAATAAGGAACTCTAGCTGCTACAAGATCAACCTCCAAATCTTAGTGACTTTTCACAATCAAGGGTTATTCCACCCTCCTGTAATAGTTTGCTGCAGGCTGGGTAGCTTTTCTGGGAAGCTCTCCTCTAAAAGAAGGCTCAGAAATCCAGGTCGCTTCTAACCTGTCTTGCTGCCACCTTAAGCACACGGCCTCCCGGGATGCAGAAGGAGCCATGCTTGCGTGGACAGCCTGCGAGATGTCTTCTGCGAGGCCTAGAAGGCACCCATGTTCCACTGGCTGGAACTCAGTCCTGGAGACCCAGCCTATCTTACAGGGAGACTAGGAAGCAGGTTCTTCCTGGGCACTCACTCAGCACCAGAAGATTGGTAGCATGGAGTCAGCTCCCCCTGAGGAGAACAGGCAAGTTCCATAGTGTAATACCTCCAGTGGCTGTGACTGTGTTTTAATTGGAAACAAAGAAATTCAGCTTAAAGAGTTTGGATTCTGCTTTGGGAAAGAAGGCCTTTAGAGCTTTGTGGATTTGAGTTCTCACTCTTATTCTGCCACTTATTCCTATGTGACGTTGGATAAGTTTATAAAATGAGAATCATATCAGCATTTAGTTCGTAGGATTGGTATGAGAATTAAATGAGCCAATGCTCAGAAGTTGCATGTGTGTGCTCAATAAATGTTAACAATTATTGTTGTTATTATTATTAGAAGTTGTTTATTTCCCTGGTTGATATGGTTTGGCTCTGTGTCCCCACCCGAATTCTTATCTTGTAGCTCCCATAATTCCCAGGTGTTGTGGGAGAAACCTAGTGGGAGATGACTGAATCATGGGGTGGGGTCTTTCCTGTGCTGTTCTTGTCATAGTGAATGGGTCTCATGAGATCTGATGGCTTTATAAACAGGAGTTTCTCTGTACAAACTCTCTCTTTGCCTGCTGCCATCCATATAAGATGTGACTTGCTCCTCCTTGCCTTCTGCCATAATTGTGAGGTCTCTGCCACGTGGAACTGTAAGTCCATCAAACCTCTTTCTTCTGTAAATTGCCCAGTCTCAGGTATGTCTTTATCAACAGCATGAGAACAGACTAATACACTGGTGATCTGAAAGGAAAAGCATTTATATAGCAGTGGCTTTCAATGGTGCCTGACTACCCAGCAGAGTCACTGGTGAGATGTTTTTGAAGTACACATGGGGGCAGGAGGGAAGGGAGGTGAACACTCCAGATGTGATGAATCCCAACCTCCCTCCATCTGCATGTTAACAAAACTATGCAAGCTGCTGCCCAGCCACAAGTAGAAACCACTGGACTGCACCTCATACAAGGTGGCCGATGGGATGCCCAAGGCTCGAAGGATATTTGTGGAAGAGACTACTTCATGTAAGTCTCCAAGGTGAGTCAGATGTCAGAATGGAGAATTTCATAGCAGAGAGGGGGTCCAGGGTCCAGCACTACAAGTCATTCAGAATGTTAGGAAACTCTCAACCTGCGTGATGAATGTGTGACAGCTGCATAGGGTGACCTGGGCACTCCTGGTATTGGTTTCTTAGATCTTCCTAAGAGCTTCTTTTTAGTCCTGTTATCAGCCCTACCTCCTGATCCAATTCCATCTAGCCTAAAGCCATTTGCCTAGGAGAGAGGTACATAGTTGGAGAGAATTAACCCCTCTAAGAAAGAGGAGGAAAGCCTTCCTTTTTTTCTATAGGATAATGGGCATAGTTCCACATGCCCTGGTTCTCACAAGTCATCTTTCTTCTTATGAAACATAAAAAAGCTCATGCCTTTAAAGGCTCCCAAGCCCACTGATGGCATCCTGAGGGCCTTTATTTTCTTTTCTCCTGCTCAATTCCCCTCTGATAGAAAACCCTGAGAGCATTTCAGCAGTGAAACTAAAAGAAGTTATCGATCAAGATGGGCTTAGTTATGCTGTAGTAACAAGCAATCCCTGAAACTCAATGGCTAATTACCAGGGTAATTTCTTTCTCTTGTCACATGGCCCTCAAGGTTGGTAGAGAGCTCTGCTCTCTGCGGTTCTTTCTCCAGGATCCAGACTGAAAGATCAGTCATTGGAGAGAAGATGGCATCACTTTGAAAAGAGAATGCTGGGCATGTCTAGTATGGGCAATTAAAGGCTCTGGCATGGAGGGCATGTGTGTCCCAACACATTGGTCTGAAGCAGTCCTATAACCACTTCCACAGCACCCACCAGGGGGTCAGGAAGCTAGGTTTTTCTTTTTTTTTTTTTTTGGTACCCAGAGTGAGAGGAGAACTGGCTATAGCTGAGGACAACTGCTGGCTTCCACAGAAATTGAAAGGTCAAAACAATGTTTGATTTTCAAATACCTGCCTAAGGATGTTTTAATAGCTGTGTAGAAAAAAAATCATGGTCATTGTAAGAAAATACATCACAGAAAGGCCTCCCACTCCAAAGCTACACTGAGGAATTACTCAAACTTTAGCCTCGGAAGTGGAATTTCTTTTCTAAAGTTTATGATATTGGGTAAATGGAGAAATTACTGATGATGGCTTGTTTATTTATCTATTTTATCTGTCTAAAATTTGGGTAGATAATTCTTGCATTTAAGAACAAATGGGTGGACTTGGGTTTTTGGATGTTTGATTGTATTTCTGCTCCATGCGGGTGGGAACTGTTCTCAATTTGTAATTCTCACATCCTGACTGCTGACTGAACTGTGTCTTGTGTAGAATAGTCCATCTATCCATATTGACTGGAATAAGCATGGAATAAAGACTGGGCACTGTTTTTTTTTTTTTTTTTTTTTCAAGACAGAGTCTCACTCTGTCACCCAGGCTGGAGTGCAATGGCGTGGTCTCAGCTCACTGCAACCTCTGCCTCCCAGGTTCAAGTGATTCTCCTGCCTCAGGCTCTGGAGTAGCTGAAATTACAGGCACGAGCCACCAGGCCTGGCTAATTTTTGTATTTTTAGTAGAAACGGTGCTCTACCATGTTGGTCAGGTTGGTCTTGAACTCCTGACCTCATGATCTGCCTGCCTCAGCCTCCCAAAGTGCTGGGATTACAGGTGTGAGCCACCATGTCCAGCCAAGCACTGGTTTTATAACACCTTGGCATATCTCCCAAGTATTTCTGAGGAAGTTGTGAACATCTCAAAACAAAATTAATTTCAAATGATTTTCATTTAGAAAATAACATGACACTTCTGGTAATGTCACAATTTCTAACAGTAAAACCATACATGTATGGCATTCTTGAGATGATTCCACCCTTAGAATTCTCTTGAACACTAGAATAAAATGTGTATTACATCTTTGGTAAGAGTGTTGTCAATTAGATTCTTGCCTATGTGGGGGCATATCACCACACAAGGTATAATATTAGGTCTTGATCACATAGTATATAGTATTTTCTAGGTTGTCACTTTTCTTACTTGGAAATATTTCTGGAATTGTCCGTTGGTAGCAATCTATTTTTGTTAATTATTTAGAAAGTTCTATCTAAAAGAAATGCAGTTTGCAAGGAGAAGGAATGAGAAGTTTTCTTAAGTCCTTCAGTTTGAATATCATATCTGAAAATCAGTTTACTTGAATATGAGTTCATTGTAACTCAGTTTAGCATTCAGTTTGTGAGCCATATTAAACAAATAAAATAATTTTCTTTTTATTTTTTAGTTATTTTTCTGGTTGAGATAGAGTCTCACTCTGTAGCCCAGGGTTGAGTGCAGTGGCACGATCTCGACTCACTACAACCTCCACCTCCCGGGTTCAAGTAACTCTCTTGTCTCAGCCTCCTGAGTAGCTAGGACTACGGGCATGCACCACCATGCCTGACCAATTTTTTAATATTTTTAGTAGAGACGGGGTTTCACCATGTTGGCCAGGCTGGTCTCAAACTCCTGACCTCAAGCAATCCACCAGCCTTGGCCTCCCAAAGTACTGGGATTACAGGCGTGAGGCATTGTGCCCGACCAGAACAAATGAAATAATTTTCATTCATCAGGTTTTGTTTTGATTTCAGTTCTTCTTGCCTTTCAGTATTCTTAAAGAATATTACTATTCTTATAATATGCCTTTTTGCATTTCATTATATTCTTCTCTCTTAATACAAGATGTTGCTTTCGAAATGCGCTCACAGTTCCCCCAGCACCTAGTCGCACTAATGACTTCTTTCTCCTACCCCCAAGCATAGGGTTTGTCATGGCCATTGTTAAATATTAGGGACAATTGCCCAGTGACACCGAATTGGGGCCTATCTAGCTTTTCCTCTCTGCTTTGGCCCAGACAGAACAGTGATGCTGAATGGCAGCCCGTTAGTCCTTAGAGCCATTGACACAGAGAGAAGAGATTGCACAGAAGCCAGTTCTTTCTTACCTTGTCATTGTTCCCTGACCATAGGCTTTCTGAGATTAGAAATAACTGATTCTTTTAAAGAGAATGCCTGCATTAACCAAATATAAAGATATGTAGCAAATGCTACATTTGCAGTCATCATAAAGCTGAATGAAAAAAGAAACACTGCAAACATACTGAAACAATTAAGCAATGTTCGTTCCTAATTTTAGGCTGGGAAGAATATCCTTTGTGCACTGTATAGTTGGTAAGACAACATTCTCAGGCCCACTTTTTAGTTAGTTACCAACTCCTAGAAGCCAGTGGAAAATCACAGTCTTTGATGTGTAAAATAACTGAGAAAAGGGGTGTAGAGCCTTATAAAATACCTGAGCTTCATCTGGACCAGCCAGGAGCAAGACTTGAAATCCTCTTGCTGAGGAAAATGAAGGAAAGCATACTTGCCTTTTGAGGCACAAAATAAAAGAAACCTATAAAATTTGTGTGGCACAGTGTCCCAGAAATCAATTATGTAATTTTGTACAATCATATCAGGTAGAGTATCAACCCATTACTGAAACTCGGAGCTTTCAAACCTAATGGAGACTATTTGACATTCCTAGGCGAGCTGCCAAAGGCCCGTTTCCAATTGCTACATGACAATTATTGACACAGACATGCACAGGCAGGGAAGGGTTTTCAAGGAAATAATGTCAATAATTTTCTACTGTGTTTTAAGCTAAAAATCAGTAGAAGGTGAGTGACTAGAATCCTCATGGAATCCATATCTACACATCCCTTGGGTCTTGGAAAAGAATTCTTTACTGTGCAGAATAGCAATGGCAGTAATAGAGAAAGTGAATATCCACATGAAATTTAATTAGGTTGGAAATGGAGAGTTGAGCTGTACAAGCTGGAAATGTTCAGAATTGTACTCATCTACAATCCCTAGGTATTGAAGACTACACCCCTCAAGTTCCTCTTTACTCCATCCACTCTGCTTATCATGGCCAGGCTGATCTTTTTTTTTTTTTTTTTTTTTTTTCCTGAGACGGAGTCTCGCTCTGTTGCCCGGGCTGGAGTGCAGTGGCTCGATCTCGGCTCACTGCAATCTCCATCTGCCGAGTTCATGCCATTCTCCTGCCCCAGCCTCCCGAGTACCTGGCACTACAGGTGCCCGCCACCTTGCCCAGCTGATTTTTTATATTTTTAGTAGAGATGGGGTTTCACTGTGTCAGCCAGGATGATCTCCATCTCCTGACCTTGTGATCCACCCACCTTGGCCTCCCAAAGTGCTGGGATTACAGGCATGAGCCACTGCGCCCGGCCGGCCAGGCTGATCTTTTACAACTTGGATCCCATCTGGCTACTCTCTGCTTTGGAGCTCACAATGGTAACCTTCTGTTCACTTTTCAGCCCACATCCTAGTGTTTGGGTCTGTTTCTTTATGTGGTCTTACCTGCCATTGTTCCCAATGAATCGCTCCCCAAATTCAGACTGTTCTCCTGAATTCATCTCATATCTAATGAGCTTATTCTCCCTTCTGTGCTGACTCTCATCCTCTCCCCTGGTTCTGAAATATCTTCTCCATATACTCAATTTGCCAGTCTAATTCTGTTTACTTTTTGAAGTCGTGCTTGAATCTAGTTGCCTCATATTACTCATAGAAGCTCTTGTTTACTGAGGGTCCATTAAGGCCCAGGGCTGTAATAAGGGTGATTTGTATGTTATATCTATGTTTTTGATACATCTGTCTTTCTCTGATAGGTGCATAAATATACTGATGCAGGCCATAAACAGGAAGTTGTTTTCTGCCCACAGATGAAGTATGTTTCTTATTGCGCAATCAAATGACATTTTTTTTCTTAGAGACAAACATAATAAACATGCATCATAGGCATTACTGTTCCCACTTTAGAGGCAAAGAAACTGATGTTCAAAGGTATTGAGTTTCTTGTGTAAATTCATTGAGGTAATCAAATGAGATTCAAATACAGGCCTCTCTGATCCTAGAACCCACGTGAGGTTGTGCAGGATTCTCTGTTTCCAGCATCCAATCATCTCTCTCTCTCTGAAGTTTCCCGAAACTTAAGGAGTAGTGGTGATGGCAACAGAACAGGGATAACAGCTAGAATTTGCTGTGAGCGACTTAACATGTGGCTAACGCTGCTCCCTTCTTGCCATCCCTGATCTCCACTGGCTCTCACAACAATTCCAACAAGTTCTCCCTGGTTTTCAGATGAAGAAACCGAGGCACAGAGAATTTAACTAGTCTGCCCAAAGCCAAGCAGCTCATAAGGAACAGAGTTGGGGTTCACACTTGGATCTTCCTGACTCCAGAGCTTGCACTCTTAACCCTCTAGTCTTCGCCCTCCCACACAATCCTACTTTCTGGTTGTTGTTCCATGGTCCTGCCTCCACAGCTGGGCTTCTCAAGGCTGGGAACACCCTCCTCTATTTCCCCCACATCCCCACAGTCAGTATTATGTGATGAAAAACCTGCTTTTAGGCACACACTATTTTCCTGTTGAGGCTGCTGTGGAGATCTGGGGTTGGTTTTGTTGGACCATGATGTCCCTCCATGGACCTAAACTCAAGAAGATGCACATTTCCTTCAGTCCAGACCCAGGATCCAAGCATCTTTTTGTGCACTGGTTATGGGAGAGGGTAAAAAGAGGTTAATGAGGCACCTTCCTGTGTCCAAGAGAGACAGACAAGCTTGCCCAGGCTGAAAATGATGAGGAAAATGACCACCAAGGGTCATCATAAGCCAGGCTCAAGGGTCTCATAAGCCATGCTTGGTACCATGTGTGGTCCATCTAGGAAGCTGGGCCCATTACAGGCAGAACTAGCAGTGTTCAGAGCAGGAGGTCTTTGTAAAAACACCTCCTCAAAATGATCAGGAAAGAAAGCAATGTGACTTCTTCTCGTACTTTGCATAAGAAGGCAGATGAAATTGGTTTCTGACTATTATGGAAAACTGTTTTGGGGCATGTGGTGGGGACCACCCAGACGAGGCCCTCCAAGACCTTGTTGTCTAGGGTGATTTATTCCCTTTATTTAGAGATCCAGACAATTAATCATTTATTTATGTGATGATAGGCTTTTGGCTGTTAGACCAGATGCTGTATTACTCTATGAGATGAATAATAGTGGAGAACTATATAACTTATCTATTTTACTTTTTATCTTGGCTTCTAGGAAGTGTAGAACTCAATTTGATACTCAATTTCTATGATTACACATAGCCTAGGTTTTTGGTACATCCACCTTTCTCTCTTAGATACCTAAATAATTTGATACATGCAATAAATAGGGAGCTGTTTTCTGCCCACAGTATGCCTCTTATTGTGCAATTAAATGACCTTTTTTCCCCTTAAAAGATTGAGTTCTGCCAGCTCATGGAACATGCTTTTTCATCGATGATTTCCAGAAGAGAGAAAATACCAAGGACCTTCTTGGACAAGTTTTGTTCAATTACATCTTTAATCCTGTTGCATAATTTGTAAAATTTAAGACACATTTAAATTGAATCTAGCGATCTGTATATAGTGGGAATTCTAGCCTGAGCCTACCTTGGGCTTCGGATCTCTTCAAACTTGCTCCATGGATGATCACCTGAGCCCGGGGAGGCCCAGGCTGCAGTGAGCCATGATTGCACCACTGCACTCCAGCCATGACTGCACCACTGCACTGACAGAGGAGACCTGTCTCAAAAAAACAAAACAAAACAAAACAAAACAAAACAAACCTCCATGGGTTGGTGGGGGTGCTGCTAGATGCTGATTTCCTGGAGGAGTTGTAGTTTGGCAGAGAATACCTGGGGTCAAGAGGAAGGGGGAGGATGTCTGTGTCTAAAATTGGTCCTTACTGTAGCCCAGTGGATTTGTTTTCCAGACTGGAGTTTAAGGGCTGTTTCAATGAGGGACTTTATGATACACAAAGAGGCAAACAGTGTTGGTGTTTATGGATGAGTGGTACCAGAGGTTGAAGGAGAGGCGCTTCCCAAGATTGGATCTCAGTGTAGTCTTGGTTCCTTGAGGACCAAGGACCTTTAATTCAGACACTGTGGACACAGGCAGAGAGGCATGAGAGAGAAGGCTTTTCAGGGGAAGCAGACATTGACAAAGAAGGTCTGAGCAGCTACCGTCGTGACTGAGGAAAACACTTGAATGATGTCTAGGGTGTTGAGTACAAATAAGGGTGATTGTGAGACAGACAATGGGACTCCAGAAAACCCAGGTGAGGACTTGGAGAGGGATGGGAGGTTCTGTAGTAGACAGATGCATATGTATGGCTCCTATGTCAAGTTAGTACTTTATTCATTCTTGTTTTTATTAATAATGTGACCATATTAACATCCACTGGCTGCTGAGGCTTGGGACAACCAGGGTGACACCTGTGTTGTATGAAAGCATGGAGAGGCTAGTGCCTGCGGGGACAGGATCTCGGCTTCTCTCTCTCACTCCGTGTGTGCTCTCTAGAGCTTGCGTGGCTCTCATGACCTGAGCACAGATGAGTCACTGGACTGGCTACCTCACCTGTAAAATGAGAGATCTGGACCACATCGTCTCTAAGAACATTTCCATTTCTAAAATTGTAAGATTCCATTATTTGGTACAAACTAGGATGCCAGAAATACATGAAGATGAAACAAAGGGAGTGTATGAGTCAGTCTGGCCTGCTATAACAGAATATCATGGACCGGCTGGCTTAAACAACAAACATTTCTTTTTTTTTCTTTTTTCTTTTTTTTTGAGACAGAGTCTGGCTCTGTCACCCAGGCTGGAGTGCAGTGGTGCAATCTCAGCTCATTGCAACCTCTGCCTCCCGGTTCAAGCGATTCTCCTGCCCCAGCTTCCCGAGTAGCTGCGGTTATAGGCATGTGCCACCACGTCCCACTAATTTTTGTATTTTTAGTAGAGACAGGGTTTCACCATGTTGGCCAGGCTAGTCTCAAACTCCTGACCTCTAGTAATCCACCCGCCTTGGCTTCCCAAAGTGCTGGTATTACAGGCATGAGCCACCGCGCCCAGCCAGACATTTTTTCTTATAGTTCTGGAGGCTAGGAAGTCCAAGATCAAGGCTCCAGCAGACTTGGTGTCTGGTGAGGGCCCCCTTTCTGGTTTGTAGATGGACATCTTGTCTGTCCTCACATGGCTGAAGAGAAACAATGATCTCTGTTGTGTCTCTTCTAACAAAGACTCTAATCCCACCATGAGGGCTTCACCCTAATGACCTAATCGCCCCCAAAGGCCTCACCTCCTGATACTCTCACATTGGGGATTAGGATTTTAACATGTGAATTTTGTGAGAGAGACACAAGCATTCAGTTTATAACAGAGAACAAACAAACGAGTTGGAAATTGAGGCTACTGGTGTGTAGGGGCAGAGAACAGACTGAGTTTTGAGTCCTCAATTCGCCACGGGGACCCTTTGACCTTGAATGGGTTATTTAACACCGCACTCAGCTTGTCAAGCTTACATCCTGAATGCCAATCCTTGCCTCAAACACTTATTGTGAGAATTACGTAAGTGTGTGAATGCGTGTATTCAAACCTCCAGGTGTGTGCTGGCCGTGGTGTATGTATGCAGTGAGGGGTGTGTGTGCTTTTGACTGATGACCACGCACCAGCTTTCTAGACCACATAGGCCTCTGGGACCTGGGGATGCTGGAGCCTCTCAGCTGTTAGAAACAGAATGGAAAGGCACAGTCCTTCTTTGAGTCAGAAGACCTGGGTTTGAGAATTACCTCTGTAGTTTACCACAGGAGATACAGAATAGTTCAGAGTCTGTCTTCTTCATCTATAAAATAAAGCACTTGGATTCTATATATAAGCTTCAACATTTTTTTCTAAGTTGTGTGATTCTAAGATCTGTAAGCTACTAACCTCTTTGATAGAGGAGCTTTTCTTTCTTTCTTTTTATTTTTTTGAGATGGAGTTTCGCTATTGTTGACCAGGCTAGAGTGCAATGGCCAATCTCGACTCACTGCAACCTCCACCTCCCGGGTTCAAGCAATTCTCCTGCCTCAGCCTCACAAGTAGCTGGGATTACAGGCATCCCCCACCATGCCTGGCTAATTTTTGTATTTTTAGTAGAGATGGGTTTTCACCATGTTGGCCAGGCTGATCTCAAACTCCTGACCTCAGGGTGAGCCAGCCGCCTTGGCCTCCTAAAGTGCTGGGATTACAGGTGAGAGCCACCACGCCTGGCCAGGAGCTTTTCTTTCTAATCTTTCTACTTCCCACTACGCCTTGCACATAGTAGGTGTGGTAAATACTAAATGAATGACCAGTGAGATGGCTCTGGTAATTTAATTCTGCTGTCCTCAAAAGAGGAAGCAAACCTCACTTAGAACCGAGGGATGCAAAACCGTAATTCTCTGAGTGATGAGCTATCTGAGTCATGCTGTTTCAAAGATTCGGGCTTGTGGCCTAAACTGATAACAAATTCTTTCCATTAAGAAATTACTCTCTCTGGTGAACCTGACTTTTGAAGCAGACAATGCAGACACCGGCAGAGCGATTAGGTCTGCTCATAAAATGATCGCAGCCAGGTTGGACCATTCAAACAAAAGCCCGGCACACCATAGTGATACCAACAGAATATCGCTAAGACCCGCAGTCGGGTGGGAGGCTGGAGAAGAGCATAGCTAGACATTTCCTTGGTGCATGCCTGAGTCTCTCTAATTCAAGGTTCAGAAACCAAATTTGCTACATGACGATTTTTGAGTAACTATTCACCTGTAAGCACCTAGCTGAAGCATGAGGGTGTCTACATGAAGGGAATCTCACTGTTGAGAACAGTCTTTATGCTTAAGTGGTAATTCACAATCCAACAGATACACAAAATGTCACTCTGTGTCTCCCTGGCACATAAGAATGAGTTGGATGTGACAGAGCCTGAGACCCTTGCTTTTTTTTTTTTTTTTTCATCTGCTTTTGGGAAATGTGTTGGTCAGGCTCCAGCGGGAGAGCAGAATCTGGAGAGAGATGAGTGTGGGTGGTTTAGAGGGAGAGGCGACAGTGGGAAAGGTGGAAAGTGAGGAGGGAGAAAAAGCACCTTTGTAGCATCGTCTCCTGGCCTTCTTTCTGGATGACATTCTTCCTGTCTTTTCTCCTCTAGAGAGATTTTTCGAGGCTGCTTATATCTGGCTGTCCAGGTTTTTTCTTCTCTTTTGGAATGGGAGGGAGGAAAGAGGCTTTTCTCTTCCCCATCCAGAGTCTAGTGACTCCTTTTCTCCTGGTGCAGTGGCAGGGCTCCCAGCCTATCATGGAGCCTGGGCTTTGCCAGGGTCCCTTTGGGATTTAGTAAGTTTCTATCATGTGAATGTACAGATGCCACAGAACCAGAAGAGTTACGTGTCTCTGGTTGGTTGTTTTTATTTTTTTATTTTTCATATCACTGGGGAAAAGTGCACCTTTAAGGTTTCATCCAAAGCAAAGAATTGTTGCTGTTGACTTTTATCCACTTCCTAAGCACTGCATTTCTTTCAGCCTTCATCAAAGGCATAATCCTTCATTCAGAATCTTTTTCATCACTTTAAATAGTCCTCCCGCCTTTGTTGAAGTTTTCTGCCTTTAGAGAGACGAGGTCAAATCTGCTCCAACAGTGGAAATAAAATGGGGGAGGAGAACTAGCTGTAACCTTTGTGCTTAAAACTTGAAGATGGTGTACAATTTTTTTTTCAAAAAGAGAGCTACTGTTTGACTATTCTGATCTCTTAAGATGCATCTGAAAAAGATACTATATTTTAAACAGAAAATGTTAAGAAAAAGTCTGTGCTAACATATATATTTCAACAAAGTTTTTAGAGAGAAAAAATGATCTCCAAATTGTTTGAGAGAGTCAGCCTGGTTCTATTATATCTGTGTAGCAGCAGGGTATAACAAAGCTAAAGATTTAAGGCAATTTTGACACCTTAAAGCAGAACTGCACAGGCTTTTAAACCCAAAGAGGATTCAGCCTGCTCACTTATTACTTTCCACATCTTCAAAAGGACAATGTCTCTTTTTTAATCTTTTGGCTTTGCTGTGAAACCATGGGAAGTTATTGACTTTACAGGCACTTTAAGTATACAATCAGGCAGAAAAAGGACATTGGTGCACTCGGGGGCTGCGAGTTCAAATTCTCATCTCTTTGTGGCACTCTCCTCCCCGCTCAGACAGAATTGAAAAGGGCAGAACAAACAGTGAGGGGCTTCCATGGGTTTTGATGGGGGCCCTCTCATTGAGTCACAGGCACCTGAAACCGTTCGGCTAAAGACAGGCTCCTTTCTCGTTTCTGTTGTTATTTTTTAATTTGACAGCTCCCAGGGTTTCTTCGGATGGTATGCTCAGAAATGCCATACTTCCTTGTAGCCCCTGCAAGCTAAAATAATGAACAAGCAATTAAATCTCATGCTTGAGGGCCTGTGCTGATTGCTTGCAGGAAAGGGGCACAGCCCAGCCTTGTTCATTGCATATGGGGCACAGGGCCTGGCTGTTTCCCTTGGAGGGTAAGCACCTGCTGCCAGGCTGTGTCAGGGGCAGGCTGCAGGGGCGCTTGGTTGCTAGAAGAAAGGGACTTGATGGGAAACAAAGGTCCACCAAGTCACCTGTATCCAAAATGGGTGCTGGCTGATGTTGACCTCCTAAGGTCCTGTCAAGATTGTTATTTGTTAGCAGAGCACAATCGGCTCTGACTCCAGGTTTTCTTCTTTATTATCCTTTGATGAATTAATGTGTACTAGGAGCATGTACATAGGCCCTTTATTTTTTATTAAATAGGTATTCTTGGTTTTGGCTAAAAAGTTTAAGTTAAAAAATTAATTTAAAAAGTAATTAATAACTTAATAAATCGCTTTTTAATAACTCACTATATACATATTGAAATTCTACTGGGGCTTGCCACTGGGAATTCATGGATAAGCAATATATAGCTATGTCCTGCCGTACTGGATTATACATTCTTGCACGGGAGACTGCCATTGATGAAAAGGCCCACATTGTCATACAACAGCAAATGTGCTAAATGCCCTAAAAGAAAATCAAGCGGTGAGGTGGGAATGCCTAGCAGATGGTCTAAACTGGGGTAAGGGGTGATAGACTACCATCCTGAAGATGTGAACTTGAACTGAGGCTAAAGGGGAAGGAAGCGAGGTAGTACAGGGACAGGAAAGCCATGGGAGATGAGGCTGGCCGGGAGCCAGGGTCAGGTCCTGTGAGGTCATGTACATCTCCCTAAGGATTTAAAAACAGAAACAGGTTCATGCCTGTAATCCCAACACTTTGGGAGGCTGAGGCAGGCAGATCACCTGAGGTCAGGAGTTTGAGACCAGCCTGACCAACATGGTGAAACCTTGTCTCTACTAAAAATACAAAAAAGTTAGCTGGGCATGGTGGTGTGTGCCTGTAATCCCAGCTACTTGGGAGGCTGAGGCAGGAGAATCTCTTGAACCCAGGAGGCAGAGGTTGCATGAGCCGAGATTGTGCGATTGCACTCCAGCCTGGGCAACAAGAGCAAAACTCCATCCCCCGCGCTGACACACACACACAAAAACCAGATGAATGGGACCTAATTAAACTAAAAAGCTTCTACACAGCAAAGGAAATAATCAATAGGTTGAAGAGACAGCCTGCAGAATGGGAGAAAATATTTGCAAACCATACATATGAAAGGGGCTAATATCCAAAATATATAAGGAAATCAAACAACTCAATACTAAGAAAACAAACGCTAGAATGGCTATTATTAAAAAGACAAAAACGAACAGATGTTGGTGAGGATATGGAGAAAGTGAACTCTTCAACACTGCTGGTGGGCATGTAAATTAGTACAACCTCTGTGCAAAACAGTATGGAGATTTCTCAAAGAACCAAAAATGAGAAATACAATTTGATTCAGCAACTCCACTACTGGGCATCTACCCCTAGGAAAAGAAATCAATATATCAAAAAGATACCCGTACTTTTACGTTTATTGCAGCACTATTCACAATAGCAAAGATATAGAATCAACCTAAATATCCTAAATTGGATGAAGACATTGTGGCATATAAACACAATGAAATACTATTTAGCCATAAAAAAGAATGAAATCATGTCTTTTGCAGCCACATGGATGGAACTGAAGGCCATTATCTTGAGCAAATCAACCCAGATACAGAAAGACAAATACACATATTTCCACTCATAAGTGGAAGTGAAAAAATGTGTACAAATAGCCATAGAGATTGGAATGATAGACAATGGAGATTTGGAAGGATGAGGGAGCAGGAGGGGGTGGAGGATGAGAAATTACTTAATGGGTACGATGTGCATTATTTGGATGATAAATATGTAAAAGCCCTGACTTAACCATCATGCAATCTATGCATGTAACGAAAGTGTTCTTGAACCCCATACATTTATATAAATAAAAAAAAGATTTTAATTTTGACCCTTAGATTAATGCAGAGCTGTGAGAAGACAGAAGCAGTGGAATGACACCACAACATCTGTGCATTGAGAAGGGCACTCTGCTGCGGCATGGCAGTGAGTACAATGAGATGGCTTAGGAAATAGATGGATGTACCTCAGATTGGGGTGGTCCAATGAGGATGTAGTTCCGAAGGCATATTTCTGAGCTCTTTAGGAGGGAGAATGGACAGGGCTTGTGATGGCTGTGGTTGGAGGGAAGGTGAGGGGTCTGGGATGGCTCTTTGGTGTCTGGCTCGCACTGCTGAATGAGTGGCGGTGCCACTAGCTGAGAAGGAGAACATGGGAAGCCAGCTAGATTTAGGAGAGGACTTGAACTTCATTTAGACCTGTTGAGTGGGAGATACCCCCAAAAGGAGGTATGGTGTAAATAGTTGCCTATAAAGGTCTGATATTCAAATGAAGTATTGGAAGCATCTGAAAATGGAAGCTGCCAGTATGGATGAGCTGTCTTAAAGAGAGGCTACGAAATGAGAATGAAGACCAGGACTGAGATACCAGAACTCCAGTCTGTGTGGGCCATAGCCCAGAGACTTAGGAGAGCCCAGAGCAGGAGGAAACTTGGAGGGTGGGGCAGCTCAGGGTGAGAAAGGCTGCTTCAGAAAGGAGGGCCGGCCGGGGGTGGGGTGGGGTGGGGAGGGGGATGCCTTGGAGACCACCAAGGTGATGATTCACTCAAGGATGGGTGTGGGCTCATCCTTGAAAACACTTGTGAGGTAGAGATTATTATTATCTTCCTTGAATAGATCAAGGAACTGAAGCTCAAAGAACTTAAATAACTGGCTTCGAATCACACACTAAATAGGTGGTGGAGCAGAATTTGAAGCTGGTTCTCTAGGTCCAGATCCCCCGCGCCAGCCCTGTCTCTCTGTAGCTTTATTTCTTTCACATTCAAGCAATTTTGTTTTCTAGAAAAGGAACAACATAATGGTATTTTGGTTTGTTAAATAATCATGATGAGAAAGAGAATGACAACTGACATTTAATGCGAGGCTTATAAAATGATTAAAGGTTTTGAATACTGTATGATAAATAGGCTTTTAAAACCCATGTATCTGACCTCTTATTAGGCTGTTTATTTCAAAACTGACAGTGCAGCTAAAACAATTGCTGAGGGACTGCATATATCTTCTGCCTCAATTACTTTCAGAGACAATTTAGTCAAGATGATTTTTCTGAAGTTAGCCAATGTAATTCAAAACCAGATAGGTAAAAGAGAGGCCAGTCATTGAGGGTGCACATGGAATATCACATTAGGGACTAAGAGAATTAAAATGAACTGAGGATTTCGTTTTTCCCGTCTTTATGATGATCAGAAATTGAGGCAAAAGGATTAAGTATATGTCTGTTGATTTCAAAACACACTGCATGGAAAATTCAACTTCTTCAAATGGTATGTGGATTTGGAAAACTCAAACATGGACTGGAGTGGGTTGGGCTCTAGGGGTTTTAGATATTCTGTTGTATGTGGTAGTATGGATAATGAGAAGTTGATGAGTCTGAGAGTATATGAGTCGCTGGCCGGGAAGTAATAAGATGATTCAGATTGGGAGTTGTGAAGGTCTACCTCGTTCTCTGTGGGGGCGGTTGCTAGAAAGGAAACTATTTAAACACTTCAAGGAAACAAAACCCTGAAAACACATAGAACCTGAAGAGTGAGGAGAAAGAGACTGGGTCCCCAGCAGGGGACTTGCTCTTTTTGAGGGCCCTGTAATGCCCTGGGCTTAACTCTATCTCTGCCTTTCCGCCATGTGCTGTAATGGTCTGATAATTGGTCTGCTTCATAGGAGCATGAACGTCTTATGGCAAGGACTGTGTCTTACTCACCTTTGTGTCGATTACTTCAGTGCCTGGATCATAGAAGACGTTCGTTAAATAAACATTTTTTAGAAGGTCGAGCAAGTAAACAAATGTCAGGAAAGGTGCGAATTAGAAAGAAAGCTAGGGAAAGGGAAGGAAGGAGGAAGAAGGGAAGATCTCTGTGCTAGGAGAAGGAGAATTTGGGGAAATCATGTGTTTATGTATGCCCAGAAGAGTATTATTCATGGCTTGAGTGTGAATCTAAGACCTGGACACCTTTTCTGACAGAAAGGTATTACATTCTTCAAAATTAAAAGGAGAAGTTTCCTGAAGAGTTGTTCAGGTGCAAAGAGAAATTCCATCATGAATCCAGCAAGGCGGAGTTGGGTTCTAAGATGACTTGAGCAACACAAATGTATGAACAACCAACAGGAAGCAGAGCCTGTCCAAAGCCTGATTTACTTAGTTAGGCTGAGCTAATTCCATTTGGGAGGTGGCTTTTGTAACACATTTTTGTCCTGAGGTGGCCAAAAAGTTCTTTAGTGCTTTAAAGCTGACAGAGTGTGGGGTAGGAAAATAAAAACAGCCCAGTGGGAATAGATGTCAATGAGGTATGGGAAAAAGACCCTTATTCCAAGGGTAAGATCTCTGGAGATGGGCCTCTTCTCAACCTCATTTTCTTGCTTTGGGCCCTGGGAAGGAGGAGGTCTTAGTCCTCAGCATCTCATGAGATTAAAAGTAAATCTGGGCCGGGCACAGTGGCTCATGCCCGTAATCCCAGCACTTTGGGAGGCCAAGGCGGGTGGATCAACTGAGGTCAGGCATTTGAGACCAGCCAGGCCAACATGGTGAAACCCCCTCTGTAGTAAAAATACAAAAATTAGCTAGGCGTGGTGGCGGGTGCCTGTAATCCCAGCTACTCAGGAGGCTGAGGCAGGAGAATTGCTTAAAAACCCAGGAGACAGAAGTTGCAGTGAGCTGAGATAGTGCCACTGAACCCCAGCCTGGGTGACAGAGGGAGACTCTGTCTCAAAAAAAAAAAAAAAAAGTAAATCTGTTCAGTCGCGGAGAAGAAAAGAAAAGTCAAACCTGGAGGACCAATTTCTTGACGACCAGTCTTATTTGCTTATTTATAGCAATAGCCCTTTCCTAATTGATTCATGGGAGTCAAGGATATGGCTCACACAGTGCATTCTTGAAGGTGTAATTTCCCTTGTGACTTCGCAGAAGACATGATCTCTGAAGCTGGGCCTCCGACTGTCCTGAAGTTCAGAAACAGCTGAAGGATCATTACTTTTTCCTTTCCTCTGTGGGCCAGGAAGCTCTCTGGTTAAGAAAACTTTGCCCACCAGGGACATTAGTTAATTAACTAATTAATTAAATTTATCAATTAACTAATTAATTTGATTAATTAAAGAGGCATCATTGTAATTTACTATATTTCATATAAATTAGATTGTTGAAGGAGTTGCCTTTTTTTGATTCCTTGATAGTATTTGCCACTCCATGGTGTAAGATGATAGGTTAAAAATCAGTCAAATAGGGAATGATGAAGATCAAAATAAGAGTCATGGAGTTTAAACTTATGCACATCAAAGTAGAGAAAATATGTGCTTTTATCTGAATCTCTTGCTATGAAGCTTTGGGAGTGTTTCTATAGATAACATTTTAATGGATTTTTGATTCCAAGTTTTCAGCGTTACAAAAGGATGGCTTTTAGATTTTTCTTCGGTGCAGGGGAAGAAATGAAAGGCAAGACTTGGTTCTCTGCACTAATTAAGAAGTAAAGGGCTAGAGAAAAAGCCAGGCAGCATCTATAAAGGGTTTGGAGTCAGACAGCTGCTTGTACCCTGAACTCTGACAAGTGTCTTAATCTAAGTCTATAAAATGGGTATATCTCAAAGGAGGCTTGTGATGAGGAAATGAGATACGGCATCTATTGTGCCTGGCACCGTTATCCATACTAGCGCACAGAGGTGCTCAATAAGTGTTGGCTGTTATTTTTCTTTTTTCACGTTATTAAAATTTGTTATTAGAATATAATGTAACTTTCTTTCCTTATCCCTATGACTCAGAAG
This sequence comes from Homo sapiens, assembly GCF_000001405.40. Taxonomy (NCBI): domain Eukaryota; kingdom Metazoa; phylum Chordata; class Mammalia; order Primates; family Hominidae; genus Homo; species Homo sapiens. The sequence goes on along the minus strand of NC_000006.12, from coordinate 156,248,498 downwards.
TTTACAATAAAATATTTTCATACTTCCCTTTATATATGATTTCCCGTCTGGTTTTGCTGACATTAGTTGACTACATGGATAGATGTGATAAAAGTTTCTCAGACACTGCATATTCTGGAAAAAAAAAAGTACCACACCTTTGGATATCCTAGAGTTTACTGGAGATTAAATATATTAGAAACTCTTAAAAGACAGTCATGCTTTTAAGAAATTCATCCTCTGGTAATTTTCTTATTCAAGACATACTTTTAGGTTCCAACTATGTCTGTAATTTGCATTTATCTTTAAAGAGACTTTTTTTTTTTAATTTCCTTGAATGATTTTTTAAAGCGCTCCTCAGGAGTGCATCATCCAGAATTTCCTATCTTGCTGACGTTATGTTTTATGCAAGAGTTTCTGGGCTACTCAAATTTCTTTATCCTGTGTTGCTAATGGATTTGCTGTTGATCACCTTCACGTTATGTGACAGCTGCTTGAGGAATGGGCCTTTATTATAGAAAGGCTTGACAATAATTTGGGTCATATTTTGGAAGGATACTTTCATTTGTCCCTGGTACACATTAAATTTGTCTGAGTAGATGCTCAAGGTTTGGGAACTGTTTTTAACTTTCAACAGTTTCCAGTCTTAAGTTCCACCAGCAGGTTCCCGAGTAGGCTGGTATATACCTATTTTATCCCTCTACTGTTCCTGTATTTTTTTTCACCACTATTCAAAGTAGCTTTTAAGATTTGAGAAGAAAAGAGTCAGTGGACCACGGTGGGCATTGGGGGGTGGAAAATGCCAACTTTCTGGGTTACCATTTGTGGTTTATTTGCTCTTTTTGTGCATGTCTTTGTTTCCCAGTGATTAAAACTTGGTTTAAATGTTGCTACTTATCCACCTGTCAAGGATGGTGTGAGAATGAGTAATAATATCTGAGCCATATTTTTGCTCCTTAGTAGAAAGGTGCTATATAAATACAAAATGTTATTTCATTAAAAATACTTGTATGATAACAGCATATGTTAAATTCAATTTCCTTGACCAATTTTATAAATACATTTTGCTGTTACAATATGGTTGTTTTTGTGGTGAGTATGTGTGTATCCTACACTCTGTGTTCTATTTTCCGCCTGGGTGGTATAACATATCAAATGTTTAAGAAAAATAAAGACACATTCTAGAGAGATCATGAAGCTACTGCTAAATGTTATTTTTAGGGGGATTTCAAATAGATATTAGTGAGATACCTACTGAATTATTGAGGATACGAACTGTACAACCATGTAATAGGACATTATAAATAGGTAGGCTGGTATATACCTGTTTTGAGTAAACAGTGTATTTTTCTTATCAATCTTAGTTCTATGTTGGTGGTTTGCAGCCCATGAGACAGAAGCATTTTATGGTTAAACCTAAGATCCTGGAATTCAGTGGCCAGACATGATGCTTGTTGGCATCACATAGTGGGGCATTGGAATCCATGTTCAGCCCAGGGAAAGGACATCCCTTCCTGTCTCAGACCATCCATTGGGAAACTTCTCCTTTTGCTGAAGAGGAGGATTTGAATCCCTCCCATCACTACAGCAAGCCCAGAGAATGCAGAGTTGGCAGATACATGGAGACATGGCACCATTACAGCACAGTGTGGTCATTTTTGATAATTTTTTCTAACGTAGTATAGACCTTCAGGCAAGTCATAACAAAGGCCCCCTGCTGCCACTTTCTCCCACCCACATTTTTCTCAGCAATTACTTGGCTTATTACCTCACAGGTAAGAGATACCTCCATCTGCACCACTCACCAAATTATTTGCAACTCTACCTATTCTAAAACACTTTTTAGTTTGAAATAATTTTAGAATAAAGAGTTTCTAAGATAGTACAGGGTCTTCCCATACACCCTTCACCCAACTTCCCCTAATGTTAACATCTTACATAGTATGTTTATCAAAACCAAGACATTGACAATGGTGCAATATTGTAAGTGAACTACCAACTTTATTTGGACTTCTCAACGTTTCCTGTTAATGTACTTTTTCTGTTCCAGGACCCTTTTTGGGATATCATGATACCTTTATTCATCATGTCTCCCTAGTTTCCACCAATCTGTGATAGCTTCTCTGTATTTTCTTGTCTTTCATGACTTTAGATGTTTTGAAGAGTAGTGGTCAGGTGTTTTGTAGAACGCCCTTAATTTGGGTTTATCTGGTGGTTTCTCATAAACATTCTGAGGCTGTGGATTTTGGAGAACACCACCACAGAGGTGACAGGCCCTTCTCATTGTATCATGTCAGTGGGTGTATAATATCAGCATGACTGCAGGTAACATTAACTTTGATCACCTGGCTAATGTGATGTCTGTTAGGTTTCCCCACTGCCAAGTAACAATTTTTCCCTTTCTGTCATCTATTCATAAAAGCAGGTCACTAAGTCCAGCCTATACTTGAGGAAAGGGCCATTAAACTCTACCTCCTGGAGGGAGGTAAAGAGTATCAAAGTCATGTTTTAAAACCATAAGAGTGATTAGTAAATTTAGAAAGGGATACAAATATGATGCAAATATCCTGTTACTTCTTAAAGTTCAACCACTAATTTTAGCAAGTATCAATTAGTCTTGCATGCAGCAAGGATAGCTGTGGTGTTCCAATGACAATTCTCTATTTCTCCGATTCCCTCTACGTTTATTGATTGGATTTCTTATGTAAGAAAGATTGGTCTTTCTTCTTTGGTTTATTTATTTGTTTATTTATATCAGTATGTGCTCATGGATATTTATTTTATTCTTTAGGTGATAATTCAATACAATCGAAATTTATTATGGTGCTCAAATTATATTAACTCTGGCCACTGGGAGCTTTTTCAGATAGATTCTTGGGTCCTTTTGACATGCCTTCATCTTAGAAACACATTCTTGGGGGGTACTTTCTTACTTTCTGATAACATAACATATTCCAGGATCACCTTGTATTTTCCTTGCCCTGGCCTTAGAATCATGGGGAGTCCATTTGTGAAAGCTGAGGCCTCCTACTGGCAGCCACGCTGGGCAGCCATCTTGAAATTATGCAGGGAAGGCCCACCAGCCTCTGAGATGGCTGCTTCCTTTCCTGCTGACCTCCTGACTGCAAACTCATGAGAGACTTTGAGCCAGAACCACTCCATTGAGTGGCTCCTGAACTCCTGACCCAAAGCATCTGTGACATATAAAGTGTTTGTTGTTTTAAGCCACTCCATTTGGGGGTAATTTATGACACAGTGATAGATATTGAGGTCAGATTTTGGTGATTGGAAGTGGTTGCTTCTGTAACGAACACCTAAAATGTGGACGTGGCTTTGAGACTGGACAGTAGAGGAGAAAATTTGAAGAGCTTTGAAGAAGTTGTTCATAGAAACATGATGGCCTGGAGGCTGTGGTGAGGACTTGAAGGAAAGTGAGGAAGACCCATCTGGAAACTGCACTTGTGTAGAGGCAGGACATTTAGCCATGGTGCCGCCTGTGTTACCAAGACCGCAAAAAGTGTGCCTAATGAAGGGGGTTGCCAATAGCTTAGGGGATTTCAAACAGACCTTGAAGGTGCCTTCTGGCTCCTTTTTGTTGCTCACACTAAAATGCAAGAGGAGACAGAGAAGTGAAAGGAAAGACTGTTAATCACAAAGGAGGAAGACTTGATGGTTTTGAAAATTCCCTGCCTCTCCAGGTGGGAAAGAATGCTGAAATGAAGCAACGACATCCAGGCAAAGATGAATCTGGGGAACTACCAAGAAATCGTTCTCTAGCCAGCTGCAATAGCCAGAAGAATGTCCATACCTATCTCCTACCTTCCAGTCTCATGCAAGCTCATCTCATTATTAGATCTAAATTTGCAGAACCTTAGCTGCAAAGAAGTGAGGGAAATAAAGTTACTTGTTGGGCAACCGTGTACATTTAGCTAAGTGCTAAAAGTCTGTTACATGAAAGAAGGGGAAACATATTTTAGGGACAATTAGCAGTCTCTTTCAAGTCCCAAATCCCCTCACGTTCTAAGGAAGAGCTGCCAGACATATGCTTGCAGGACTTTATAAGGGGCGAAGACATGGATCCTCTGTCTTCACGTCCAGCAGAGTTCAAAGAGACAACTGAATGGAATCACATAGGGATCCGCAGACTTAAGGTGAAATATTTGGCTTTTCTCCTTCCTTTTCCATAGGGAACAAAAGGGTGTCCCCAAAACAATTTTGAGAGAATCCAAGATTAGCTCACAGAGTTTGCGGTGTCTGTTAGAAGGTGAGCTTGGCACAGGGAGTGGCAGAAACTCTCAGGCTTGCTCTGGAGCATCCAAGCAGGGGGCAGTGAGGGTGATCTTGAAGGAGCATGACACTGGTCCTCTGGAGCCCAGGAGGATGTATGAACATGGAGACTGGTGGTTGCTTCCTGACTGGAGGAGACTGAGGCCCGGAGACTGTGGAGTCTGCCTGTTGTCAAAGAGTGGGAGGAGAGGGCAACAGTGACAGTGGCCTGTCTTCCTCATGTCTGAAAGGCCAAAACTGTGTCCTGGACATGGACCACAGATGGGCATGGGGTGCACCAACCTGATAGCCCTTTCTCAAGTGGGCAGTGATAGTCAGTCTGTGGGCTCTATCATAGGTATTAGGACTGGAGGGAGGCTAATAAACATTTGGGGGAGCCCGTGACCAGGCCATGGAGATGTGCAGCTTAGAGATTCTTCTGAGGGTCACCAAGAAGGCCCTATATCATCAGCTCTGTGAGTGGGTGGGCACTTGAACTCCTGCCACAAAGGACAGGAGAGCCAGCTGGCATTCACCAAGAGAGAACACCCACGGCTCCAGCTAAACGAAAAAACTTTTGATTTCTCCTTCTCTCCATGGCTGTCCTGACCTGCTCTGCCTGAAGAAGCAGAGTGAGTAGGAGTAGAGGATGGGAAGAGCCAGCAGAGAAAGTGCTAGAACAGATCATTCCCTCCTCCTTGCCACCTCGAGCCATGAGCTGAACTGAACTGGGGGAGGGGAGCAGGTTTGAATTGAATGTGATATTGAATTTCTGATTTATAGTGGAATTTAAAAGTTTACTTGGTTAATTGTGTTGCCAGATAATACATTCGTATGGTTCAAAAATCAAAGGCATATGGTGAAACATCTCCCTCACAACTGTCCTTCTTCAAGCCTGAAAATTATTTTGAATAATCAAAATGAGACTATGGGCTGGGCAAGGTGGCTCACCTGTAATCCCAGCACTCTGGGAGGCCGAGGTGGGCAGATCACCTGAGGTCAGGAGTTAAGACCAGCCTCGCCAACATGGTGAAACCCCATCTCTACTAAAAATACAAACATTAGCCGGGGATGGAGGCGGGTGCCTGTAGTCCCAGCTACTCGGGAGGCTGAGGTGGGAGAATTGCTTGAACCTGGGAGGCAGAGGTTGCAGTTAGCTGAGATTGCATCACTGCACTCCAGCCTGGGTGACAGAGTAAGAGTCCATCTCCAAAAAACAAAAACAAAAAGAAAATCAAAATGATACTGTGGTTATAAGTAAAAGTCACGCTAAAACTGTGGAATTTGTGTGAGATGTCAAGTGGTAGTGAAGGCAGAAATTCAGCCTAGTGTGTTTGAAGTCTATGTGGGAGAAAATAAATCAATTTTGTGTGTGTGCCCATGGAGATCAGCCCATTCAGTAAAGGGATCACGCAGTTTTCACTTCACTTTGCTTCACCCTCTGGCTGCTTTCCTGTGTGGTCCGATCAGAATGGAACAAGGAGGGCTCTTAATGTCATTGACGGGGACATCACATTTGCTTACTGCAGTCTAAGGCTGTGCCCATATTGAGCTTTGAAGTCAGTGAAAATCTCCCCCCACCCTTTTTTTAAACACACGAACTTCTTTTATGGTGGATCTTCCTACACTTTATTATGCAATTGATTATTTTAACATAAATGCAAGGCTGTTAAAATGCACCATGTGAGGTTAGGCTCTTTATTCCAGCCTATTAAGATTTTCTTGGCTTTCTGATTGATGCAGACCATATTGGTTATCCTCCCAGCTTAATGTCCTCTGCCAATCAGATAAACACACTCAATTACTTAGGATGTAGGTTCAGGTGCTCAGACCAAGACTCAGCATACCAGTGGCTTAACAGCGGCTTAAACAAGATGGAAGTTTACTTCTCTTTCTTAACTGCCTGCGTGTTAACAGTCTAAGGCTAGAAGGAAGGCTTCATGAGGTCAGAAATCCAGGGGCCTTCTGTCTTAATTCTCAGCCATCCCTAGGGCCAACCCAGCTCACCAACACATTCACGTTCTAGTGAATAAGAGGGGCCAAAAAGTGAAAGGGGGTAAGCTTGCATTTTAAGGACATGATCCCCAGAACAACATCACATTTGTTCTTATCCACAGAGCTTTGCACAGAACTTAGTCACATGGCTAGGCCAACTTGCAAAGAAGGCTGAGAAAAGTGGTCTTTTTTTTTTTTTCCTGTATGTTCATCTGCTCAGCTAAAAATTCTATTATCTGAAAGAAGGGGAAAATCATTACTGGCAGACAATGAGCAATCTTTGCCACACATGATTTCTGTGTTTGCATGCATGCAATTAGTGAGAGCTTTTACTAGTCATTGTTATGGGCTAACTGTGGGTCCTGGTCTTCTCATTTACAATGCTTCCTTAACACCACAGGGTCGTGGATTTCAGTGAGCCTGAAATTCACTCAATGCCAAATCATGTTCAGTCCCCATTTTTCTATCTTTCCCTGAAGGATCATATCGCAGCCTTCTCTCCAATATCCTATTTCCATCTGGATTCAGTATGGCTGTGGCCTTCTCAGGATCTCCATTACTACCCTATCAATACAAGAAGGGAAGTTAGCTCAGCTTGACTTAGTCTCAGTGAACATAGCTTTTCTTTAGTAACTATGGCTCTGTTGTCTAAGAGCTCACCAACCACCTGTTTAACAATCTTGTCCAAAATTTTGTCAAGGGAATTCATTTCGACTGTACCCATCTGTAATTTTTGGAATTCATACTGTTCCCATTTTCCCATTTTTGAAAGTCAAATGGACTATTTTGAAAGTGCCTATTTCCAACTTGCAGGTACCTGTACTATTTTCATTACTTCTCAAAGACTATAAACACTGATGGTATGCAAATTCTTTTAATACCATGGGTATATTAATTTCCTTAGGCTGCCATAACAAAATTTCACAGACTGAGTGGCAGAGACAACAGAAATTTATTTTCCACAGTTCTGGAAGCTAGAAGTCCAAGATCAAGGTGCTAGCATATTTGGTTTCTTCTGAGGTCTCTCTTCTTGGCTTGCAGATGGCTGTGTTCTTGCTGAGTTCTTTTTTGTTTGTTTTTTTTTTTTTTTTTTTTTTTTTTTTTTTTTTTTTTTTGAGACAGAGTCTCATTCTGTTGCCCAGGCTGAAGCACAGCAGTGTGATCTTGGCTCGCTGCAACCTCCACTTCCTGGGTTCAAGTGATTCTCCTGCCACAGCCTCTAGAGTAGCTAGGATGACACATGCCCGCCACCATGCCCAGCTAATTTTTGTATTTTTAGTAGAGATGGGGTTTCATCATGTTGGCCAGGCTGGTCTCAAGCTCCTGACCTCAAGTGATCCACCTGCCTTGGCCTCCCAAAGTGCTGGAATTAGAGGCATGAGCCACCGCACCTGGCCTTCTTGCTGTGTTCTTATTTGGTTTTTCCTCTGTGCATGCATATCCCTGTGTCTCTTAGTTTGTCTAAATCTTCTTATAAGAATATTAATCAGATTGTATTAGGATCCGGCCTATCAGCCTCATTTTAATTGAATCCCCTCTTTAAAGACCCTATCTCCAAACACAGTCATATTCTGAGGTACTGGGGGTTAGGCCTTCAACATATGAATTTGGGGAGTATACAATTTAGCCATAACAGGTGGTATAAATGTCTTCTTGGATTAAAGTCATTTAATTGAAAGGAATCGGGTACTTTCTTATTTCAGGAAATTGGGGAGAGTTTGGAAGGCTGTGAATTGGCTGAGAGCCTTGGTTACTTTGGAAGTTTGTTAAGAAGTGCACAATCGATTTCTCACTTTGGACCTAGTGCATTGGAATATGTATTTAGCAAGGCTCCCAGATTGATCTCTGTGCCCACTAAGGTTTGAAAACTCCTGGGCCAGGGACCCAAAGGTGACAGCCTCTTATCCCCAAGAGGTTTCTGGATGCGGTATACAGGAGCAATGACAAAGGAATTCAGCAACAAATTCCACAAAGAGAGCTGTCTGGTACCCTAGGCTGGAGCATGGGGAGAGAGGTATCTTCCTACATCCGAATGTCAATCTTAGATATGACTTTTCTCATCAACCATTTGTAAGGAATTGCTACAAAAATAGAGTGATGAGAAAATACAGCTGTTCTTGGTCAAGTTGATGATCCTGATGCATGTGTGGAATATGTTAAGGAATAGAAGACTAAAGGCAAAGAGAGTGTTTTAAGATGATGGGAAAGAAATGGAGGAGAGGAGGCTGACCTACATCTGAACCTGGTTTTGACCTCAGCTGCCTTCTTTTCTCATGTCTCCTTCGGTGACATTGCCAACCTCAGTTTCCAGTTGAAAAGCCACCAGGTTCTATGACGTAGAAACAGGAGAAGCAAAATTTCTTCTAAAACCAGAGGACCTGCTATGCCCTGGTACATTTGGGTGAACCTTAAATTTTCCCCATCACACTTTCTTCACTACTCCTCCTCTACTATACCTTTTCATATGTGTCTCTTAGATTCAGCTTTATTTCCCTCTTGTTGCTGAATTAGACTGAATTCCGTACTCACATGGCACTTATCAAATTTTGCAGTACTCACCTCTCTTTCCCACTAGACTCTGATAATATGGACTCTGTCCATCATAAAACCCATAAAAATGTCTCATTTGTAGAATTGTTAAACAAGTTAGAAAATTAGGTTTCTACAGTGTTAAGTATAAATATGTGATAAATTTTATAATTATATACCTGCATTGTTGTAATAAAATTGCACAATGATGAAACATACCCAAATATGTGTTTGCAAAATGTTTAATCCGTAGCCTGAGTTTTGAAAAGCAGTCTTTGTTTCCAACTGTTGTCTCAAAGTAATCTCGCTGCTTAAGGGGCATGTTAAATGTGATTTTTTTTTCTTTTGGAAACACTTATTTTGGTAGCAAACTACTTACAGCTGATTTTTATCATAGACAAGGTCAGAAAACTGGAAACACTTGTCATGTAGTAAAAGAAAATGTGTAGCTCATCTGTAAATTTGACAATTATTTTAAGTAAATTGCCACAGCTAAACAATGAATCTCTTTGTAGAACAACAGATTTGTCTAGTCTCTTGCCTATTTTGTTATGAAATATTGTAAAATTCCAACTGTCTTTTAAAAGGTCTTATTTTAATAACATTAACCACATTGTGGACAATCTGCAGCACTTTGTGCATTTCTGGCCTCAATGTCTTTGCGGCAATAATCTTCCTGTAAATGATATGGTGAATGTACTTTATATGTGGGGTCATCTCTGTAAAGTTAATATTTTAAGGGTCTGTGTGTGGTAGTGAGGGCAATTCCTCTGTGTTATCATACTTCCATTGTAAATGACCTTGTCTACTGAAATAAAGACCTGGTAAGGATGCCAATGTCAGTTTGCGTATTAAGTATTGGTCAAGATTAATTTCTCTTTCAGTTTTAGCTAAAATTGATATCGAAGTTTAAAATGTTTAATCTCATCCACTGGTGGACTGATCCCACTGTCATATATTGAAGTCCCAAATAGATGAGTTTATTACTTACCCTTCTCTATTATTACAATTATCTATAATTCTATCACTACATTTAATATCATGCTGTCCTAATTATTCTGACTTTAAAATAAGCTATAAAGAGACAGAAATCATGAGGGAAAAGAGACAGGCATAGATCCAGGGGACTTAATGTGTAAATATTAGATATGCCATATTCCTAAACAAATACTAAAAGAAAATATCCATAAGCTAAGCGAAGAATTAATCTTAAGATTCAAAAGGCTCACAGTTCCAAAGAGAATTGAGGAGAAAAAAAGATATCCAAGCACATCTTGGCAATATTCATGAACATAGATAATAAAGAATAAAAGCCTGTAGGCTTCCAGGTAGAAATAATAAGTTAGTTATGGAGCAGAATTTTATGTGTCTGTTTTTATTTATTGTATTAAGAAAATATTCTACTGCAGAGAAAAACTACAACTTTTACATGATGATCTTGAATCCAGAAATTTTCATGAACTTTCTTATTGGTTTTAATGATGTGTTTGCAAATTTTCTTGGGTTGTTGATGTGGATAATTGCATTATCTGTAAGTAATAAAAACTGTAGTTTTTCCTTTTCAGTTTTTACATATTTATTTTTTGTTTATTATTGTTTTTGCAATAATAAGCTTCTAGTACCATGTACAATAAAAATAGTGATAGCAGGGAATGTTTTTAAAGTGTCACCATTATCTGTAAGATTCGCTGTAGGTTTTTGGTAAAAAAATCCTTGAGACTTAAAACAGGCTGTTTTTAGTATATTAAGAGTAGTCATTATTAATGAGCTATTGGATTTGATTAAAATTTATTTTTCCTTTATTTGGATGGTCAAATAGTTTTTCTTGCTCAACCTAGTAATGAGTTATTTTTTTTCCTTTTAAAAAAACATTTATTTTAAGTTAAGGGGTACAGGTGCAGTTTTGTTATATAGGTAAACTCATGTCATGCGGGTTTGTTGAATAGATTGTTTCATCACCCAGGTATTAAGCCTAGTACCCATTAGTTATTTTTTCTGCTCCTCTCCCTCCCCCAACTCTGTACCCTCAAGTAGGTCTCCGTGTCTGTTGTTCCCCTCATTGTGTCCATGTGTTCTCATCATTTAGCTCCTACTTATATGTGAGAATATACAGTATTTGGTTTTCTGTTCCTGTGTTAGTTTGCTAAGGATAATGGCCTCCAGCTCAATCCATGTTCATGCAAATGACATCATCTCGTTCTTTTTTATGGCCACATAGTATTCCATGGTGTATATGTACTACATTTTCTTTTATCAGTCTACTATTTATGGGCATTTAGGTTGATTCCATGTTTTTGTTATTGTGAGCAGTGCTGCAATGAACATTTGTGTGCATGTATTAAGCCCAGGATCAGTTGGATTCACAGCCAAATTCTACCAGGTATACAAAGAAGAGCTGGTACCATTGCTACTGAAATTATTCCAAAAACTTGAGGAGGAGGGACTCCTCCCCAACTCATTCTATGAGGCCAGCATCATCCTGATACCCAAACCTGGCAGAGACACAACAAAAAAAGAAAACTTGAAAAGAAAACCAATATCCTTGAAAAACACTGATGCAAAATTTCTCAACAAAGTACTGGAAAACTAAATCCAGCAGCACATGAAAAAGCTAATCCAGCAGGATCAAGTAGGCTTCATCCCCAGGATGCAAGGTTGATTCAACATATGCAAATCAATAAATGCGATTCATCACATAAACAGAACTGAAGGCAAAAACCACGTGATTATTTCAATAGATGCAGAAAAGGCTTTCGATAAAGTACAATATTCCTTCACTTAAAAAAATCTCAATAAACTATTGAAGGAACATGCCTCAAAATAAGCAGAGCTATATATGACAAACCCACAGCGAACATCGTACTGAATGGGAAAAAGCTGGAAGCATTCCCCTTGAAAACCAGCACAAGACAAGAATGCCCTTTCTCACCACCCCTATTCAACATAGTATTGGAAGTCCTGGCCAGAGCAATCAGGCAAGAGGAAAAAATAAAGGCCATTAAGGTAGGAAGAGAGAAAGTCAAACAATCCCTGTTTGTAGATGACATGATTCTATTAATACAGCTGTATTTTTTTTCCTAATATGAAATTATCCTTGCATTTCTGAGATAAATTATGCTTGGTCATGCTGTTTTTTTGTTATATTTTATGGACTTAAAATAATTCTTTAATAGATTATGTTTTCTAATATTTATGATTTTACATCACTTCTATAATATTAAGCTATAATCTTCCTTTTTTTTTTTTTTTTTTTTTTTTTTTTGAGACATGTTCTTGCTCTGTCATCCAGGCTGGAGTGCAGTGACACAATCTCAGCTTACTGCAACCTCCACCTCCTGGGCTCAAGCAATCCTCCCACCTCAGCCTCCTGAGTAGCTGGGGCTACAAGCATGTACCACCATGCCTGGCTAAGTTTTGTATTCCTTTGGGTAGAGAAAGGGTTTCACCATGTTGCCCAGGCTGGTCTCGAGCTCTTGGGCTCAAGTGATCCACCTACCTCAGCTTCCCAAAGTACTGGGACGACAGGTGTGAGCCACTGCACTGGCCTATAATCTTTGTTTCTTGAATTATTCTTGTCATTTTCTTTAGATCTAGAAAAATGTCTCCCTTTTTTCTATTGTTTGCAATTTTATTACCTATTATATAAAATTATGTATTCATTAAATACTTATTAACTGATCTGGGTTTTATATCTATGCTTGGGGGAAGACACTAAAAATAAATCTATGTAATGGTTTATGAACCATTATAATTATAGAAAACTTTTGGTGATTTACATTTTCCTAGAAAATTGTACCTCTTGACCAAGTTTTCAAATTTATTGGCATGAAATTATTGACAATATTCTGTTAGGCTTTAAAAGTCTCAAATATATTTATATGTATATCTTTCTTTTTTCCTAAAATTGTTGTTTTGGTATTCTCTTTTTATTCCTTCATCAGTGTGGCTAGACCTTTTGTGCTATATAATTGGTTTTTAAAAAGTGCTTGTCTTAGAAATGTTCTTTACATTGTCCAAACAATCTTATTAATTTTGGCTCTTATATATTATTTCCTTCCTTCTTACCTTTGAATTTACTGATTTTCCCTCAGATTCATGAACTGAATCTTAGTTCATTTATTGTTAATATTTCTCTTCAAAATATATCTAAGCCATGTGTTTTCTACTTAGGTCACATTTTAGCTCTATTTCATAGGTTTTGATATAATAGTGATTTTAATGAGGCTTTGTTCCAAATATGTTGTTAATTTTATTGTGAATATTTTCTTTAACTATGAATTATTCCATAATTCATGGGGGAAAAGAGGCCAAGATAGATCCAGGCATATGCAATTTTAGTCATTTCTTTATTGTTTGATTTCCAATTAAATTGCATTGTCATCAGAGAATGTAGTTTCAACAGTATCAGTTCTTTGACATTTATCATAATATCCTTTGTGATCCAGTAGGCAGAACACTTTTTTTACAAATATTTTATGTTTGCTTTTAGATTAAAGCTTGTTTATTTTGTCATTCAAATATTTAACCTCAATAATATTTTCCTGACTAGATCTTTCTGTCTGATAGAAGTGTATCAATTTTGCATTATAATCCTGTCAGTTTTGCCTTTACATGTTTTGAAGCTATGTGCGGAGGTGCATGCAATTTCATGATTTTCATACTTTATTGCTAGATAATTTCCCTTTGCTCTTATGCAGTGTAGCTCTTTATTTCTGACATTTTGCCTTCAATTCTATTTTGTTTGGTAATAATTTACTATACTGGCTTTTTATTGATTTTCATATTTGCCTAGAGTATTTGTTCAGTAACTCTATTTTAAATCTCTCTGTGAGTTTTTTTTAAGGATCTCTTGAAACCACCATATAGCAGAATTAAATTCCATCTGATAATCCCTCCTTAATAGATGAGCTTATTTACATTTTTTAATGATTATTGATGTATTTATGTTTATCTCCAACATTTAATTTAGCCTGTCTGAATTAGTATTATTTTTCTTTGCCTCTTTCCTCTTTCTTCCTCTCTTCTATTGGATTAATAGAGTTTTCTTTATTTCTTTATTTTTCTCTATGCTGGTTTGGAAACCATAAATGGCATCTCTAACATTTTCAATAACTTTAAAATTTAAAAATACAGATAACTACAGATTTTGTAAACAAATCTAAACATATTCATTATTTTTTCATTCTCCAGAAGAAAAAAGGTTTTCATATGTATTACCCTCTCTTTTAATTCCCCAAAATTCTTGTTATTGCTGCCTATAACTTTAGTTTCACCATTTCTTTTAGAAAAAGAAACATGTATTCCTACTAAGTTTACTTTTCTTCTCATTGAAATATTTCCTTTAATAGTTGTTTTAAAGAGGTAGTTAACTCTCTATCTTTGTGTGTCTGAGAATAGCTTTATTTTAGCTCAGTCAGGAATGATATACGAACTACGTATAACTGCTAAGTTGACAGCTATTTTCTCTGCACTCTAAAGAAATTATTCCAACATAATCTGGAATTTCTTGATTTTTTTACGAAAGAATGCAGCTAGTCTAATTTGCCATTCTCTTATAGCTTTTTCCTTTCTTTTTTGTTTTTCAAGTGAGTGCATGCCACAGATTGATTTAATTCATGAATAAGGAAACCAACAGGATGGTGAGTTAGCTCTAAGAAGTACAGGAGAGGCAGAAGTATTTAGACTCACTGAAAGAAAGAATGCCATATCACATACAAAACTGATTAATGCGGAAGACTTGTTAATGTCACAGTTATAGGCAATACAACTCTCACCCTTGAGATAAAGTCTTCTCTACCAGATAAAAACCGTTTTACAGAAACCCTTATCCACAGGGCAAAATTCGTTTTGTATTGCCATAAAACAAAAATCACTTGCATTGTTACTACTTTTGCATAGACTGAAGTCTATCCTTAGAGATTTGTAAAATTCCCTCATTAATAGTGAATGTGTTGTTAAAGTTACATACTTCTAGAGAATCAGATAATTCTTGGGTAGCCTTGTTAGTTAATTCATTGGATGTGATTTTGGAAGGACATGAGTCACCCTTTTGTCCATATCCAGTTCGTGGAGTGTGTTCTTAATACTTCCTCCCGGTGTTTATAAATTATCTCCAGGGATTATTCTTGGTTCAAAAATGGCTGGTCTCATTGTATTTTGGCTGCTTTCATGGGTATAGCATTCAGTATTAATGAACGTATATAAGCTTTAGTATGGTCATCAAGTCTAGAGTCATATGGGGTCAAGCAACTATTAAATCCAGAAAAAGAGCTCTGTTGAAAATTTTGTAAGACACCTAGGCCTGAATTTTCAATAATCTATTCTCCAGAGATTACACAGAATATTGCCTGTATTTGTTCTATTATAAGGCTAAGATGCCAAACCCAAGAAATTTATCTCCATCAGATTTTGCCTGCAGCACCTTCAGATTTGTGTGAATTTCTCTCTCTGCGGTGTCTCCAAATCTCCTAAACCTCCTGGCCTGCCAGGAAGTGACATGTAATACTACCTATAAGGCTGAGACCCTATAAGCCATAGAACAGACAAGAAACTGATTTCCTGGGAAAACTCTGAAGGCATTGATTCCACCCAAAAGCTGCAACCCTTGATCCTTAGTTGTGGGCTTCTTATAGCTGATTAAATGAGATGTATTCTGAAATATGACACTCCATAGATGGTCTAGATTACACATTCAATCTGTTCAATTACATTCTAACAGAAAGTATGATTAACTTTTTATGAACCAATTGCAAATATCTATACTGCTATTCAAATAAACTCAATAAAAGTATTTGTTTCTGAATTTTGATGGGTCAGAGAGAACAAGATAGAGAAGCATAGTTATTAACTAAGGTTAGACATGGATCAAGAAGATGATTTAACAATTTTAATCCTACATGTATATCCTAAAGAACTGAAAATGGACTCAAAAAGATACTTGTGTGCAAATGTTCTTTGCAGAAATATTCACAATAGCTAAAGGGTAGAAACAACCCACGTGTCCATAGAAAGATAAATGGGTAAACAAAACGTGGCATATACATAAGTGGAAGATTATTCAGCCTTGAAAGGGGTGGAAATTCTGACACAGCGTATGACATGGATGAACCTTGAAACATTATGCTAAGTGAAATAAACCAGACAAAAATGATCAAATATTGTATGATTCAACTTATGTGAAATATCTAGAAGAGGCAAATTCATAGAGATAGAAAGCAGATGAGAGCTTACCTGAGGCTGGAGGCAAGGCAGGGAGAATGGGGAGTTATAACTTAATGGATATAGAGTCTGTTTGGAGTCATGAAAAAAAACTGGAAATACATGTGATGATGATTGCACAGCATTGTGAATGTAATTAATGATGCAAAATTGTTCATTGAAAAATGGTTAAAATGGCAAATTTTGTGTTATATATAGTTTACCACAGTTAAAACAGAAAGAGGCTGGGCACGGTGGCTCATGCCTATAATCCCAGCACTTTGGGAGGCCAAGGCAGGTGGATTACCTGAATTGGAGACCAGCCTGGCCAAAATAATGAAACCCAATCTCTACTAAAAATACAAAAATTAGCTGGGCATGGTGGCACATGCCTGTAGTCCCAGCTACTTGGGAGGCTGAGGCGAGAGAATCACTTGCGATCGGGAGGTGGGGTTGCAGTGAGCCAAGATAGTGCCACTGCACCCCAGCCTAGGTGACAGAGCAAGGCTCTATGTTAAACAGCAGCAGCAGCAGCAACAACAACAACAAAAAAAAAAAAAAAAAAAGAAAGAAGAAAAAATAGATCAACAAGAAAAAGAAAGGGCTTTCTTATATAGCCATCAGAAAGTGGAACACTAAAAACTCTACCAACCTTATTCCACAATAAATAATCACAATTGGATGTTCCTCTTGAGTTCATTCAGTATTAATTTATTCTTGTTCCATTGGATCTTGAGTCATCAAACAGCTTTCATGAAATTATCTACTACTGAATTCAAAAGCGTCCTGGGAATTCTGAATCCCTCTGACAATTATCTAAGAGATGTCAGCTCCTAAGTCTAGTCCTTGAAATATCAGCTGTTAAAAATACCTGGCAGAGTCCTTTTCATGAGACTCTGAGGCTGTTCTTCCTTTATGCAGACCAAATTTCTGACCGAGAGCTTTCAGGCAAGCAAGAGAAGAAAGCAGAAGCTGCTCGTTGATGATAGAGTAGCTAACAATAGCAGAATGGAGAAGAGTAAAATTCTCTATTGCAGTAAGATACATACCTCTTTTGTACGGCTTTGATCAATGTTTCCCCATAGAGTAAGATAATACATTATACTCTATACTGATCAAATCGAGGAAAAGACATATTCCTGAAGCACTGAGCAGACAAAATTTCAATGACATTATTCCGATGACTTGCTGCATGTTTATTTGATTATAGTTTGCTGCTGCTTATGTATATAAAGAGATAAAAGCAGCAGATCTTAGCAAACGAGTGCCCGTGACTCTCCTCTGTGCCCACTGCTCCATTTTATATTGCACTGCTTCATTGCTCTGACAGCGTTATCATTTGTGGCTTTAGTTTGCTCTGTCAATTTTGCTCTGTCAACCACAAATTAATTTCCCCTTTATTGTACTTATGGATGAATCAAAGTTTTAAAAATCAGTGAAGTCAATAATTTCTATACTCTGGAAGCTGGTATATGTCTCGCCTTTTGATGAATGGCAAAGACCTTTATAAGCTGTGTCAAAAATATAAGATCGGAAGTACTACCCTCCATCCCTCTCAAGTTGATGCTCTCTAGAAAGTGGACCCATTAATTAAAAATTGTTCATATGAGCTATGCAGGTATCTTATGTTCTATTTTATACCAAAGAACTTTATGCGAACACATCTGCCTCTGACACCTGACATGTTGCACACACATATGCAAAGCAAAGCTCTCTATTTGACAAACTCTTGGGATAGAAAAACCAGTTGTTTAATTAAAACTTGACTAATTTTCTTCCCAAGTTATGTAACCATTTATTTATGTGAGTTTAATTACAAATGAAGTAGTGAAGATTAACAAGATAACACAAGTAAGCACTCTTTAGAAACCCAGATATATTATTAATAGATTACTACTCCTCGTAGGGTGATTTTTTTCTATGTTTTTTAGCTTCTGTTAATCTCATGCCTAGATTCCTTGTATCTGATCACTTTCTCTCTCCAAATTGGGTTGACTACTGATTGGAGACTGAAGAGATTCAGGTGGAAGAAAATGATTAGAAGTGAGCATCAGCAACAAGGCAGCTCTGAGCTTCAGGATGAGTCCAGGTAGGAGAATGTTCTGGCAGGTGTTAACATCATGGCATCTGCTAATAGAGATTGATGCAGGCAGGGGTCCTGTGGGAGAAGTGTGGGGTTGGGCGCAGAGCTTTGAGGTCAAGAAGAGTCTTTGGGGAAGTAAGGTAGTACTGCAGCTCCAGAGAAAGTGAGGCACTAGGTGGGAAACCAAGGCAGGAATTATTATGGGATGCCCACAGCACCTTGTGTTAGCTCTTTAGAATTATTTGTTTCAAGTCTGTGTTCACTCGTAGGAGGCAAGGACATATTGGTCAGGTTCATTGCTAAGATCCTAGTGCTTAGCACAGTTTTCTGGCAGGGTTGGTACCAATAAATATTATTAAATTAATGAATGGGAGAAAGTAAAATTTGGTGTGGGGGGTATAATTTCTAGGATTTCAGAAGTTATGGCTTGATTCCAGAGAAAGCAGCAGGAACTTAGATGATAAACCTTGGGACAAGGCTAGTGTAGGGTCCATGCAGCCCAAGTTGGCCCTGATTCCTGAGCTGAGCCTGCTTGTGGTGTTCACATGACTCTGATCATTGTGATACCAGACAAATGGTATCTGGTATCTGGTCAATGCTAATACCTACAGCAGAATACACCGGTCCTCACACAACCTTCTTAGAAGATGAGTGGAATCATTCTCTAAATTTCAGACTGTCTTCCCTCCCTTTGTCTGGTGGCTCCTGCCTTCTGGTTTCATGGTCTGATTGTCTGTGTGTAGCAAGGAGCTGAAATAACTACGTGGAGTGTAGATCTGGGAGACATAGGCATACATGAAAAAGATAAGAGTCAGAGGGTAGGTGCACAATGCAAATCAAGAACAAATAGTTGAATGTCATCAAAGGAGTGTGAACTGAAACAAAAATGAGGTCTGATTTTCACCTCTTTATATAGGACAAGAAACTCCTGGAAATCTGTGAGGAGTGTTTTTCTGTGGCCAGGGTAGAGTCTGGATCTTAAGATTGTTGGCAACGAAAATAATTGCTCTTTAGTAAGTCTTAAGAGGTTCTGCATGTGGGGTGGCAGCCGAAGTTGTCCCAGCAGGCTCTCCCTGTGTTCTGGAAGCTCTGGAAGCGATTGGTTTAGGTGTCGAGACAGGTAGGACACCCAGAGTTCTTAGGAATAGCACTATAATCTGAATGAAGATGTTTCACGTTGATAGATTAAGTTATATGCACATAATATAAAACTTGTCTCATTTGCGGAAAACATTGGATCTCTGTAAAGATTTTTGTGAACACATTTTTCTTTGGCTGAGCACAGGAAGGAGCAGTTGGGGCTGGACTGAAGGCATAGGGGCAAGGCTGAGGTACCTCCCATTTGGGGGAGGTAAACTGTCCACTGTGAGAGGGGGATACCTTAGGGGGCTAAGGAGAGACAAGGCTGCAAGGGGCCCCAAAAGGGGCATGGCCAAAGACTTGAGAAGGAAACAAGAGAATTAGTTAAAATACTTTTTCACCCATAGTCTATTATCCTCTTAGTGACCCCCAGGTTTTAGTAAAGTTAGTTACATGCTATGTTCATTTTAGCTGTGCTTTCAGGAATTAAAGGTTAAACCTGCATCCACACTTGGAATGGCGTAGATTGGGTGAGCCCTGGCTTTATGGGAAGGAAATGACCAGATGGCAACTATGACGGGCAGAGGCCAGAGCAGTAGTATGTAATGGGAGGGACCACCAAGTACTTGGATGAATCTGTGGATGTGGTATCCACAGGAGTCTCAGAAATTTCAGAGAAGATGAACTCAGCGGAAGCTGGGGACCGAGTATTGCTGTGGAGGATAAGGGCTGGCACTTTGCTCACTGGGTACTGAAGGGAAGGATAACAAATTTTAATTGGTTGAATTCAATGCAGGTACATGGTTGATTGAAATATTTATTAGCATAATCCTTTGGGTGAAAGAATTAAGAAATATGTTTCCCATTCATATACTGTGGCCCAGGAATTCTACATTTTATCAGTGGTTGTCTTTTAAGCAGTGATCCTAAGTGACTTATTTGCTACTTTTAGATTTTTTTGAATTTCTACTTTCAGGAAATAAAGGATGAGTACATTGTAATTAGATATAATACATTTCATTCTTTAAAAAATATAGGCTTAAAATTCTAGAGTACTAACCCATGTGGATTATCCAAAATCCAAAAAGAAAAGTGAGAAGTTCTGGAGCTGGAGGCCTTGGTCCTGCAGTGTCCTAGGTACGCCCTGCTGCCCTGACCAGGCAATGGTCAGGATCAGTTAAGGAAGGAAAGTCAAAGTACTGCTTTGAAATCTTCACCTCTAATTCCAGTGGAAATTCTGTCTTTTATTATCTTCACCTACTTCATCTCATTTTAATTCTTTTCTAATTCCTTTGCAATTCAGTCCACATTACACATCACCACTGTCCAGAAAACGTGCCTTCCCTTGGGAATGAGCACAGCTCCCATCACACCTCAGAGAGGTATATTGCGTAGGTCTTCACCCAAGTGCCATTGATTTCCTATTAAGTTTTACCTTTTTAAAATTTTGTGGGTACATAGTACATAGGGGTATATGAGATATTTTGATACAGGCATATGATGCGTAATAATCACGTCAGGGTAAATGGGGTATCCATCCCCTCAAGTCTTTATCCTTTGTGTCACAAACAACCCAATTATATTCTTTCAGTTATTTAAAAATGTATATTTGAATTGTTATTTACTATAGTTACCCTGTTGTGCTACCGAATACTAGATATTCATTCTATTTTTTGTACCCATCAACCATCCCCACTTCCCCTCCCCACCAGCTCCCACTACTCTTCCCAGCCTCTGGCAACCATTTTTATACTCCCTATTTCCATGAGTTCAGTTGTTTTAATTTTTAGCACCCACAAATAAATGAGAACGTGCACAATTTGTCTTTCTTTGCCTGGCTTATTTCACTTAACATAATGACCTCCAGTTCCATCCATGTTGTTCCAAGTGGCAGGATCTCATTCTTTTTTATGGATGAAGAGTACTCCATTGTGAATATATACCACATTTTCTTTATCCATTCATCGGTCGATGGACATTTAGGTTGCTTCCAAATCTTGGCTATTGTGAATAGCGCTACAGCAAACTAGGAGTACAGACATCTCTTCGATTTTCTGTTTCTTTTTCTTTTTCTCTTTTTTTTTTTTTTGAAACGGAGTCTCGCTCTGTCACCCAGGCTGGAGTGCAGTGGCCCAGGCTCGGCTTACTACAAGCTCCGCCTCCGAGATTCACGTCATTCTCGTGCCTCAGCCTCCTAAGTAGCTGGGACTACAGGAGCCCACCATGACGCCCGGCTAATTTTTTTTTGTATTTTTAGTAGAGACGGGGTTTCACCGTGTTAGCCAGGATAGGCTCAATCTCCTGACCTCGTGGTCTGCCCGCCTCGGCCTCCCAAAGTGCTGGGATTACAGGCGTGAGCCACGGCGCCCGGCCTCGATTTTCTTTCTTTTGGGTGTTTACCTAGCAACGGGATTGCCAGATCATATGGTAGCTCTATTTTTAGTTTTTTGAGGAACCTTCAAACTGTTCTCCATAGTGGCTGTACTAACTTACATTCCTTCCAACAGTATACAAGGATGCCCTTTCACCAGCATTTGTTATTGCCTGTTTTTTGGATGTAAGCCATTTTATCTGGAGTGAGATGATATCTCATTGTAGTTTTGATTTGCAGTTCTTTGATGATCCCTGAAGTTGAGCACCTTTTCATATGCCTGTTTGCCATTTGCATGTCTTCTTTTGAGAAATGCCTATTTAAATCTTTTGCCCATGTTTTTGTTCAGATTATTCGATTTTTTTTTCCTATAGAGTTTTTGAGCTTCTTTTATATTCTGGTTATTAATCCCTTGTCAGATGGGTAGTTTGCAAATATTTTCACCCGTTCCATGGGCTGTCTCTTCACTTTGTTGATTGTTTCCTTTGTCGCGCAGAAGCTTTTTGACTTGATGTGATCCTATTTGTCCATATCTGCTTTGGTTACCTGTGCTTGTAGGTGTTGCTCAAGAAATTTTTGCCCAGACCAGTGTCTTCGAGATTTTCCTAAATGTTGTCTGGTAGTAGTTTCATAGTTTGAGGTCTTAGAGTTAAGTCTTTAATCCATTTTGATTTAATTTTTGTATATGGCGAGAGATAGGGGTCTAGTTTCATTTTTTGGCATATGGGTATCTAGTTTGCCCAGTACCATTTATTGAAGAGACTATCTTTTCCCCAATGTATGTCGTTGGCAGCTTTGTCAGAATGAGTTTACTGTAGGTGTGTGGATTTGTTTCTGGGTTCTCTATTCAGTTCCATTTGTCTTTGTGTCTATTTTTATGCCAGTACCATGCTGTTTTGGTTACTATAGCTCTGTAGAAAATTTTGAAGTCAGGTAATGTGATTCCTCCAGTGTCCTTTTTGCTTAGGATAGCTTTGTCTATTCTGTTGTTTGTTTGTTTTTGTTTTTTTGTGTGATTTCATATAAATTTAAGGATTTTTTTTTCTATTTCTGTGAATAATGTCATTGATATATACATAGGGATGGCTTGAATCTGTAGATTGCTTTGGGTAGTATGGATATTTTAAAAAGATTTATTCTTCTAATCCATGAACATGGAATATTTTTTCTTTGGTTTTCTCTTCAGTTTATTTCACCAATTTTTATAGTTTTAATTACAGAGATCTTTCGCTTGTTTGGTTAAGTTTATTCCTAGTGTGGCTATTGTAAATGGGATTACTTCTATATTTCTTTTTCAGATTGTTCACTGTTGGCATATGGAAATGCTACTGATTTTTATAAGTTGATGTTCTATCCTGCAACTTTACTTGTTTATCAGTTATAATAGGGTTTTTTTTGGTGAAGTCTCTAGGTTTTTTCAAATTTAAGATATCATCTTCAAACAAGATAATTTGCCTTCTTTTCCAATTTGGATGCTCTTTATATAATTCTCTTGTCTGATTGCTCTAAATAGGACTTCTAGTACTATGTTGAATAACAGTGGTGAAAGTGGGCATCCTGGTCATATTCCAGATCTTAGAGGAAAGGCTTTCAGTTTCTCCCCATTGAATATAATACTAGCTGTGGGTCTGTCATATGTAGCATTTATTATGTTGAGGTATGTTCCTTCTATCCTCAGTGTTTTGAGGATTTTTGTCATGAAGGGATGTTGAATTTTGTCAAAGGCTTTTTCAGCATCAATTGAAATAATCATACAGTTTTTGTCCTTCATTCTGTTGATATGATGTATCACATCATGATAATTTTTTATTACTGCTTTAGTCTTCTTACTTATTATTGGTCTGTTCAGGTTTTGGGTTTTTCATGATTCAATCATGGTAGCTTGTGTGTGTCTAGGAGTTTATCCATTTCTTCTAGATTTTCCAGTTTATTGGCATATAGGTGCCCATTGTAGCCACTACTGATCCTTTGAATTTCTGATCAGTTATAGTGTCACCATCTCTGATTTTGTGTCTTCTCTCCTTTTTTGTTAGTCTGACTAAAGATTTGTCAATTTTGTTTAACTTTTCAAAAAAAACAACTTTTTGTTCCATTGATCTTTTGTATTGTTTTCTTCATTTCTATTTTATTTGTTTCTGCCTCTGAGTTTTATTATTTCTTCTGCTAACTTTGGGTTTGGTTTGCTTTTGCTTTTCTAGTTCTTTAAGATACATCATTAAATTGTTTAGCAGAAATGTTTCTTCTTTTTTGATGGAGATACTTATAGCTATAAACTTCCCTCTTAGTACTGCTTTTGCAGTATCCTGTAGGTTTTGATATGTTAGGTTTCCATTATCATTTGTTTCAAGAAAATTTTAAATTTGTTTCTTAATTTCTTCATTGATCCCATGGAGCCATTGATCATTCAGGAGCATATTGTTTAATTTCTATGTGTTTGTATAGTTTCTAAAATTCATCTTGTTATTGGATTTTCAGTTTTATTCCATTGCAGTCAGAAAAGATGCTTGATATTATTTCACTTTTTTTTTAATGTTTTAAGACTCATTTTGTGACTGAACATATGGTTTACTCTTGAGAATGATCCATGTGCTCAGGAAAAGAATGTGCATTCTGCAGGCGTTGCATGAAATGTTCTGTAAATATCTCTTAAGTACATTTGGTCTATAGTGCAGATTAAAGCCTGTGTTTCTTTGTTGATTTTCTCTCTGGAAGATCTGTTGAATGCTGAAATGGGGTGTTGAAGTCCCTAGTTATTATTGTATTGGGGCCTGTCCTTCTCTCTTTAGCTCTAATAATATTTGCTTTATATATCTGGGTGCTCCAATGTTGGGTTAATATATATTTAAAATTGTTTAAATATATTGACCACTTTATCATTATATAGTGATCCTCTTTGTCTCGTCTTACAGTTTTTGTCTTAAAAAATGTATTTTGTCTAAGTATAGCTACTCCTGCTATTTTATGGTTTCCATTGGCGTGGAATATCTTTACCCATTTCTTCATTTTCAGTCTATGCATGTTTTTATGCATGAAGTGTGTTTCTTATAGGCAACAGATCGGTGGCTTTTTTTTTTTAATCCATTCAGCCACTCTGTCTTTTGATTGGAGAATTTAGTCCATCTACATTCAATAGTGTTATTAATAAATAAGGAGTTACTCATGCCATTTTATTATTTGTTTTCTGGTTGTTTTGTGGTTGCTCTTCCTTTTTTCTTCCCTTCCTGTCTTCTATTAGTGAATATGATTTTCTCTGGTGACATAATTTAATTTATCATTGTTTAATTTTGGATACTTGTGTGTTTTTTGGTTTGAGGTTACCATGAGGCTTGAAAATACTATCTTATAGCCATTAACAGTGTTTGCATAAAGAAGCAGAAAGAAAGCTAATAAAAACTCTTCACTTTAACTTCATTCCCCTGCTTTTTAACTTTCTGTTGTTTCTATTTACATCTTATTGTACTGTCTATGTCTTCAAAAGTTGTAGTTACCATTTTTCATTGGTTCACCATTTAGTCTTTCTATTTGGAATAAGACTATTATAAATACCACAGTTAAAATGTTATAATATTGTGTGTTTCTGTATACTTACTATTTCCAGTGAGTTTTATACCTTTGGATGATTACTTATTGTTCAATAACATCCTTTTCTTTCAGATTGGAGCCTCCCTTTAACATTTTTTTCTAGGACAGGTCTGGTGTTGATGAAATTACTCAGCTTTTTTTTTGTCTGGGAAAATCTTTATTTCTCCTTCATGTTTGAAGGATATTTTTGCTGAATATACTATTATAGTATAATAGTTTTTTTTCCTTCAGCACTTTAAGTATGCTCTGGCCTGGCCCGTAAGGTTTCCACTAAAAAGTCTGTTGCCAGATATATTGGAACTCCATTTTATGTTATTTGTTTCTTTGCTCTTGCTGCTTTTAGGATCCTTTCTTTATCCTTGACCTTTCAGAGCTCGATTATTAAATGCCTTGCGGTAGTCTTCTTTGGGTTAAATCTGCTTTATGTTATATAGCCTTCTTGTACTTGGATATTGATATCTTTCTCCAGACTTGGGAAGTTCTCTGTTATTGTCCTTTTGAGTAAACTTTCTACCCCTGTCTCTTTCTCTACTTCCTAAGAGTTATTTAAGGCCAATAACTCTTAGATTTGCCCCTTTGAGGCCATTTTCTAGATCCTGCAGGCATGCTTCATTCTTTTACTGTTTTTGTATTTTCTGACTGTGTATTCAAATAGCCTGTCTTCAAGCTTACTAATTCTTTCTTCTCCTTGATCAATTCTGCTGTTAAGAGCTGGTAATACATTATTCAGTATGCCAATTGCATTTTTCAACTCCAGAATTTCTGCTTGGTTCTTTTTAAATTATTTCAATCTTTTTGTTAAATTTATCTGATTGAATTCTGAATTCCTTCTCTGTGTTATCTTGAATTTATTTGAGTTTCTTCAATACAGCTATTTTGAATTCTCTGTCTAGAAAGTCACATATCTCTGTCTCTCTGGGATTGGTCCTTGGTGCCTTATTTAGTTCATTTGGTGGGGTCATGTTTTCCTGGATGGTGTTGATGCTAGTAGATGTTCTTTGGTGTTTGTGCATTGAAGAGTTAGGTATTTATTGAGTCTCCACTGCCTGGCCTTATTTGTACCTGTCCTTGGGAAGGCTTTCCAGATATTCTAAAGGACTTAGGTGTTTTGATCTAAGGAGTATCTGCTTTAGGGGGCACCCTAAGCCCAGTAACACTGTGGTTCTTGCAGACTCGTAGAGGTACCACTGTGATGGTCTTAGACAAGATCTGGGAGAATGCTGTAGATTACCAGGCAGGAATTCTTGTTCTCTTCCCTTACATTCTCCCAAACAAATGGAGTTTCTCTCTCTCTATTCCAGTTTTCTTTTACTTATTGTGTGGTTGGTATTTTTTTTTTTTTTTTTTTTTTTTTGGAGATGGAATCTTGCTCTATTTCCCAGGCTGGAGTGCAGTGGTGCAATCTTGTCTCATTGCAACCTCTGCCTCCCAGGTTCAAGTAATTCTTCTGTCTCAGCCTCCCAAGTAGCTGGGACTACAGGCACACGCCACTACGCCCAGCTAATTTATGTATTTTTCAGTAGAAACAGGGTTTCACCTTATTGGTCATACTGGTCTCAAACTCCTGACCTCAGGTGATCCACCTGCCTTGGCTCCCAAAGTGCTGGGATTACATGTATGAGCCACCATGCCCAGCCTGATTGGTATGTCTTTTACATTTAAAACTTTCAACCAATGTGTCTCTTTTTAACAAAAAAGTATCTTTTATTAACAACACATAATTTAGAATAGCTTCCTTTTCTCCCTTATCTAGCTCAACAACCTTTGCTTTTTATTTGGAGTCTTTGATCCATTAACATGTAAAATGGTTAGTGACATGGATAGATTTGTCTACCATTTTGCTATTTTTTCCCTATTTGTCTTGTCTGTTTTTTGTTCCCATCTATTACTACAAGTCTTCTTTGTGTTAATCAAATATAATTCTATTGGACTTTACTACAAGTCTTCTTTGTGTTAATCAAATATAATTCTATTGGATTTTTAGATATATTTTATTTGTAGTTGCTTTTCTAGGAATTACGATATGCATCCTTAATTTATCACTGTTTTTAGAGTAAATGTTTTATCCTTTACAGAAGGTATAACCTTGCAACAGCATAGTACCATTTATTTCTGAAACTTTATAATCTTGTTGTTATAAGTCTCTAAACATTTTAAACCTTTAATCAATATTACAACTTTTGCTTTAAAAAGTTAAATGATTTTAAAGATAATAAGACAAAAATAAGATGTCTTTTACATACACTTTTACATTTAACATTTCCAGTGTTCTCTATTCCTTTCTGTAGGTTTTCATTGTATGTGATATAATTTTTCCTTCAGCCTGAAGAACTTGTTTTAGAATTTTCTTAGTAAAGGTTTGCTAATAACAAATTCTCTCAGTTTTTATTGTCTGAAAATATCATTATCTTACCTTTATTTGAAGACATTTTCTCTCGATATAATATTATGAAATGACATTTGCTTTCCTTTATAATTTTAAAGATGCTATTCAGTTTTTTAAATGGATTTCATTATTTCTCATGAGACATCAGCCACTATTGATACTATAGTTCCTTTGTGTATAATATGTGGTTAATCTCTGGCTACTTTTATAATTTATTCTTTGATTTTTAGCACTTTGATTATGATGCGTCTAGGGCTGAATCACTTTGAATATTTTCTGTTTACATTTTGCTAGTTTTTTGGAGGTATATATTGATGTTTCTCACTAAACTTGGGAAATTATCTACTATTACTTCTTCAGATATTTATTCTGTTCCATTTTCTCTCTATCTTCTCTTAATATATTCTTAAAGATTATTGATATTCTGTTCATTTTGTTTTAATCCTTTCTCTCTCTGTTATTAACATTGGAAAAATTGTATTGATCTGTTTTGAAGTTCACTGATTCTTTCCTTTGCTGCACCCAGTCTGATAAGGAGCCCATTTAGTGAATTTTTTTTATTTCAGATACTGTTCACTTCATTTATTAAATTTCAATGTGATTCTTTTTTATAACATTTCTCTGTTGAATTTCTCATTCTTTTATTCATTATAACCATATTTTTCTTTAAGATTTTAAACATATTTATGATAGCTGTTTAAAAATATTATCTGCTGTTCAGAATAGCTAAGTCATTTTTGGTCCTGTTACTATTAACTAATTTTTATCCTACTTGTGGATCACATTTTCTTGTTTTTTTTTTTTTTTTTTCACATTTCTACTAATTTTTGAGTATGTGGTAGACATTTTAGATGATATGTTGTGGGGAGTTTGGGTTATATTGTCTTATTATAAAAGACTTTAAATTACTTTTTTTGCAGACAAACTATTTTGATCCTGTAGATTTTTTTTTATTCTTTGTGAAGGATGGTCTATTTCAGTTTTGGACCACATTCTAAGGCATGTGTCTTACTCTAGCTATGATTATTATCCATTGAATGTGCACTGTGCTTAGTGTAGTCTCTTGAATGTCGTAGGGATAGAACTCCAATGTCTCCTAACACAGCACAGCCTCAAATATTATTGTTTAGCTATCATCCCTGTAGCAGGCAATCTCTGATTGATTTTGTAGACACTCATCCTGTTGCATGATCAAGTCAGTCCTCAGCCTAGCATTCTAGCTGATGAGATTCATTCTCCCTTTACCATAGCTCTCTTTTCTCATGTGCTTTGCTCTAAAAATTCCAGCTGGTTCAGCAGTCTGGAACTCCAGTATCTGCCTTCTCAACTCAGCAAGACTGCTGCTCTGCTTGGCTTTCCCTTCCTGATCTGTGGCAGAAAAATACCATTAGGCAGAAAATCAGGGCAATTGTGGAGAAACTGTTGGGCTTATCTCATATGTTTTCCTTCTTTAAAAAATTACATCCTGTGCTGTCTGTTTTTCAACATCTGCAAACAGTTGACTCATACGTTTTGTCCAGTTTTATAATTGTTGGAAAAACAAGTTCAGTTACCAGTTACCATCATGGCAAGAAGGAGAGGTTTATGTATATGATTTAAAACATAACTTTGATTATTTTATTTGACTTCTAAGTAGCTCTCTTCTGTTAAGGTTAGCACCTGTGTGTGTCAATTCTTTCATATTTTTTCTATGCCCGTATAATCTATCTCTTTCTTTCTCTTTCTCATGCCTGTACACTATCTATCACTAAGAGTTTGCAAGGCATTGTTTTATAAAAATAAATATATAATTATTTGTGTATATATATTTATATATTGGAATATATAATTACAAATAATAGATATGTACATATATATCTTTACCTATACTATGTCTATAAAAATATAGTTTTCAGTGTCCTTCTTTTCTTATTTAATAATACATCCCTATAAGTCAATTTGTGTCAATCTAAATTATTATTTCTAGTGCTGCAGATATGTCAAAAGATTATTCTATCAATTAGTCTTTAAGGGAGATTATTTAGGGAGATGCTTCATATACTTCTCTAATTGGAAAATTTAATTAAAGTTTGTAGATATTCTTTAGGGTTTATTGTATAGATTTCTGTCATTTCCCTAGTTTTATAACACATAAAATTTCATTCTGTAATTTTAATTCATTTTTATTCTCTTCTGTGAGTTTCTGGGAGAGGAGTTTTCTCTAGATCTTTCTCAGAAGTCCAAACACAATGTTTTAAATAAATTCTTGTCTAACAAACATATTAATAATTAATAACTGAATATACAAAAATTTTAGTGGTTCAAAGGACTATAACTATATTTTTACTCTCTCAAATACTGTTTTTCATATTTCTGGCTATAAAGTAGTACACATTAGTTGTAGTAAACATGTAAGTTAGCAAAACTATATAAAAAGAAAATCATTTGTAATCTGATTGCCTACTGATTGTTACTCCATAATTTCTAATTTTTAATCTATGTATATATTATATATCCAGGTATTTGTATATCCATTAGATGTATAATTATGTATATTGCTTTTACAGTAATGTAGCTTGAGAAACTTACCTAATTAAATATCCTTTAAAAAGATGCTTTCTAATGACTTCATAAACTTCTATTATATACCTTGCTTAACCAATTATTGCTCCTGAATACTTAGGACCTGTGTCTGCTTTTTCACTATTTTAAACAACAGTTCAAGGAACATCCTTATGCATAAACCCCTGTCTATATTCCACACTATTTCTCCTTCACCATTGTTACAAAGCTCTGTAAAATGGTATTGAAGTTAGGAAACTAAGACATCTTGTTTGGATTTAAGTCCTGTTTGAGTCTCAAACCTTAAGTGATCTTAGTTTATAATTTTCAATGTAATTAGAGTACATTGGAAAAAGAATCATTTGTAGAATGTTTTTAAAAATCTCCATTCTATTGGAAGCCTGTGGGCTCTCTGAGAAAGAGTTTGACGGTTCCTGGCCAGCCTAAAATTTAATCCCAACCTGTCACCAGTTTCTATGAAGTGAGGTTTCTATTACTTCCTGGATTGCTGTAGTCTATCAGAGGTCACCATCTCCAATTTAGCCTAGATGTGGATGGGAAAATACCCTGTACAGCCCTAGCATCCAAAGAACTTTGGTGTCAAATTCAATTACTGGAGAAGGAGACCTTTTTTTTCTAAAGGTCTCTGAATCCATTAAAAAAGCTTCTCAGATTCCTAGCACTGGTGCTTATGGCGAATGTATCTCCCACACAAGCCTTCTGACAGCTTTTTTGTAATTTCAAATAGTCAACTGCTTTTGTGGTTGGAGTTTCATTTACTGAGAAAAATAATCTCAAATGGAAGTAGAGACAGTTATGTCTTTAACATATGTCTGAGTACGCCTGAGTGAGGCAAATATTGTAGATACATAATGACCCAAGATTATTTCATTCCACATAGCTTACCTCTTTTCATGTTCCCAAACATGTTGATTTTCCAAATATAAGACATTAATTCTGGATTGCTGTGGCCACAGTTTCCATTAACTCCCTTGTGTGCATCAAAAGAATAAAAGTATTAATGAAGTCTTTTTTTCATTTTATTTTAAAATTCTCTTTTGTGGAAATTCCCTACATTTTCTTTTGCACAATTTGCAGAGCCTTTTCTTTTTCTGTGATTAAAGAATAAATGAATTCGTTTTGAATTGAGGAAAATGGCACAACATATATATTTTTTGTACCTGAGAAATTTGTTTTTACAATTCCATTTCAGTGAAACCGCCTAATAGGTCATAAAAGATTAGCAGTGTTTTCTCCCTCTGCCATACAGCCTTCTAATTTGTCTGGAACACAAACGAATCAAGAAATGCAGCTTTGCAGACTGTTTTGAGTATTACAGTTTATTACTTTAACTATTGGGTCAGTCGAGGGTGCATAAACCTGCCATTTAAGTCGTTAACAACTGTTTCCAGAAAAGATACACTTTATACTGTGGATTGAGCTTCTCTTTCATCCTTTTGAGTTCAGATTTCATAATTAGAACATGTTGAACAATAGAATTCTCACGTAAGAATAAAGGCATCTTCTTGGTTTCTTTTCTACTGCTTTGAACATGGAATAAACGGCATATTCTGCAGCCTTGCTAAATCTTCTGTTCCTTCCCACGCTTTGTTATGTTTCTGACCATTTCAGTGAGAATAAGGAAACTACTCAGACAATGTTACCTCCACACAAAACTTCAGATTTTCATACTAAAAATTATTGACTGGTAGCAGCCATTAAGAGTCATTTTGAAAAATAATATACCAATAGATTTGGCATACTGTTCCTTAAGAACAGCTCCATATTGTCACTCCGAATATTTTTACGTCTGATGCTCCTTTTATTTAAAAAGTTTGTAACTACCACTCATGTTAAAGTCAAATTTTTCTTGTGATTCTCATGAATGGAATCTTCCATTTTAATCTGTGTGAATTCTGCCTATGATTTTGATCAACCTCAGTAAAATGGAAGAGTTCCATTAGAGTTCCATCAGAATCATGCAATATCAAGTTAAGCTGGAACCCACACTTGGAGTGGTGAATCACTCCCAATGTGGGTTAACTAGAACCCACAGCATTATAATCCTAAATTATCTGGGAGCCAACTGATTCTCCCAGATACAAGCCAGTTTAACATTCATATACAGATTGCTTTGTGAACATATTTTTTCATTTTTAGAGACAAATTCACAGAAGGCTGTTTGCTGAGTCCTATGGTAAGCACATTTTAGTTTTGTAGGAAATTGCCAGACTATTTTCCACAGTGACTGTACCATGTGTATTCTTACCATTGATGTATCAAGGATTCAGTTTCTCTGCATTATTGTAGGCATTTGTTATTATCATTATTTATTTTAGCTATTCAAATAGGTGTGTGTTGATATCTCATCACAGTTGTAATTTGGACTTTCTTGATGCCTGGTGAGGTTGAATATTTTGTGCTTATTTATTATCTATATTCCTCTTTGTTGAAATGTCTTTTCGTGTGATTTTCCTCTTTTCTTATTAGATTGTGTTTTTTTAGCTGTTGAGTTTTGTTCTTATTTTAACATATTTGTCAAATAAAGATTTGACCATATTCAAGATGTACAATGTGATCCTTTGATGTACATATATTGTAATGATTACCACAATCAAATTAATTAACACATCTGTCAACACCTATGCTGATATTAGATCCTCAGAACCTGTTCACCTTGTAACTAAAAGTTTGTACCCTTTGACCAACATTGCTCTACTTCCTCCATTTCCTAGTACCAGGCAATTGCCATTCTTCTCTCTGCTTCTGTGAGTTCTACTTTAAAGATTCCACATGTAAGTAAGATCATATAGCATTTCTGTGTCTGGCTTATTTCACTTAGCATAACATTATCTAGGTTCATCCATGATGTGGCAGGATTTCTGTCTTCTTAGGGCTAAATAATATTCTATTGTATGTATGTACCACAATTATGTGTTCATCCATGTATAAACAATTAGGTTGTTTCCATATCTTGGCTATTGTGAATAATGCTACAATGAACATGGGATGCAGAGATCTCTTCAAGATATTGATTTTATTTCCTTTGTATATGTCTAGAGGTGGGATTGCTCGATCACATGATAGTCCCAATTTTAATTTTTTGAGGAACTTCCATACTGTTTTCCATAATTGGCTGTACCAAATTACATTTCCACCAATAGCGTACAAAGGTTCCCTTTTCTCCATACTCTGACTACTCTTTATCGCTGACCTTTTTTGATAGCCTTCCTAACAGGTGTGAGGTGATAGCTCATTGTGATTTTAATTTGCATTTCTCTGATGATTAACAATGTTGAGCACATTTTTACATACCTGTTATTTGTATGTCTTCTTTGGAAAAATCTACTCAAGTGCTTTGCCCATTTTATAAATCAGATTATTGATATTTTTGTTATTGAGTAATATGAGTTCCTTCTTTATTTTGTGTATAAACCCGTTATAAGATCTATGGTTTGCAAAGATTCTTTTCCCATTCCATAGCTTGCCTTTCCATTTTGTTAGTTGTTTTCTTTGCTGTGCAGATGATCTTTGGTTTGATGTAATTCCATTTGTCTACTTCTGCTTTTGTTGCCTATGCTTTTGGTGTCATATCAAAAATGAAAGTCTCTTTAAAAAATGTTGATGGAAAAACTGGATATCCACATGCAAAATAATGAAATTAGATCCTTGCCTTACACCGTATATAAAAATTAACTCAAAATGAATTAAAGTATTAAATGTAAGATCTGAAACCATAAAATGACTATTGAGTTTTGAGAGACTTTATGCATTCCAGATATGAGTCTTTTATTATACATGTAGATTGCAGATATATTCTTCTCATCTGTGCTTGTCCTTTCATCCTCTTAAAGGGATCTTTCACAGAACAAAAGTTTTTAGTTTTGATAAATTCCAATTTATTGAATTTTTTAAAAATATGGATCATGCCTTTGGTGTCATGTCTATGAAGTCTTAAGACTTTTGTTCTAAGTATTTTATCTTGTTTTCTTCTAAAAAATGTACAGTTTTACATTTAAATTGATGATAAAGAGGGGCTTCAAGTTGGCAGAGTAGATGCATCTGGTACCCACCCACCTCCTCCACAAAGAAGCACCAAAACAGTGAGCATATAACCACACTTCAAATAGATAATCTAAGAAAGAGCACTAGAATTCAATAGATAAGTGACACGAAGCACCTACAAAAAGGAGGGAGAGGAAACAGAGGCACCCCGCTTGGCTGAAATCAGCAGGGAACCTGGAGAGACTCCCCAGTACAGGGAAAGGGTAAGTGAGAGACCCACAGTAGTCCACATTCCCACCGTGGACTTTTGCAATCTTAGCCACCAGAGAGCCCCTTGATCTTCATGGGCCCCAAGACTGACACAGGGAGCTGCCTGGAGACTGTGGCAGCATGGCCCCATATACCCACAAGCCCTAAGCAGCCACAGCAAGGTACCATTTTGAGAGCCCAAACCCCACCAAGATGGCATCCTGCCCTGGGGCTCCACTGGCTGTGCATCACCACATCCCCCAAACGCTATAGACATTTCCTACCTGCAGCTGCCACCAGGGCCAAAGCATGAGCCACTGGCAGTGGCCCTGCCCCACCCAGCAGACAGACAGTCATGCTGAAAGGCTACCCTGCCTGAGCCACAGTCTCTGAGAGCTGCTGCCATCACTGGGACCAAAGCATGGGTGACCCCACCCCTCCAGCAGAGGGCCACTTGCAGATTTTAACACACCCCAAGGACAGACTCAGTTGCCCAAAGTTGCTGTTGTTGTGGGCTGTTTCTTAAGGTTAAGATGCAAGTGGAGCAGATGTCCTTTAGCTGTCTGCTTATGGCTGCTCCCAGCCATAAGCTGAAAGCAACCCCTCTCTCCCCAGAAACAGGGCCCCAGTATAGACTCTGCTGCCCCTACCTGAGCATTCTGCCAGCAGCTTAGGAATCACCCCACACCTGCCTACCACAGCCAGTACCTGAGTGCACCATCAGGATGTTTGAGGACAGGTTCACCCAGCCCAGCTCTACTCCCACCAGGACACAAGCCTATCATCTGGGGCCTGAGGTTGTTTAGCCCAGATTGTCACCATTGGCACCTGAGCATTTGTCTTGAGTCCCTAAGGCCAAGCTCACCCAACCCGCTACTAATACCACAGCTGACACCCAGACCCACACACCACCTACAGGCCTGGGGAATGGCCCATCCAGCCCACTGCAACCACTGTCAACACCAAAATGGACAACTGGGGACCCAGAGGTTCTCCCTCCACTGCTATTGCCATCACCCACACCATGCCTGTTGCCCAGGGGCCTGAGGACCCACCCAACCACCTGGCCCACTGCTCCCATTCCAAGCACCTGACCAACCCACTTTGAGGTTCTAGAATTGGCCTGCCTTGACATGCTAACACCAATGCCAGCATAATACACCACTCTGGGGTTCAAAGAGAAACATGCATAGCCTACCATCACTGCCACTACTGGGGCCCAAATACTGGCCCACTGGCATCCTGGTCCCCAGGAAACTTCACCAAAGCCTTCACTAACAGCTGTGCCATAATAAGCCACTGAGGAAATGACAGACACCACTGACCCTGTTTATAGCTGAGGAAATCATATGGAGATCACACTACTGCACACACCCAGAATCAAAGCCAAAGTATCCTACACTATCAACATTGTGTGTTCAGGAAAAAGTCCTCCCCTACGGAAGTAAATATAAAAAATGGGAAGAAATGACTATTATACCTGATGCTTAGATATCAATGTAAGGACACAAGAAACATGAAAAAGCAAGGAAATATGACATCCCTAAAGGAACACAGTAATTATTCAGCAATAGACTCCAATCAAAAAGAAATTTACAAAATCACGGAAAAAAATTAAAATGTTGATTTTTAAAAGCTCAGTGAAATTCAAGATAATACAGGAAAATAATACAAAGCAATTAGAAAAACATTTAGGATATGAATGAGAAATTTGCCAAAGAAGATATGTATTATAACAATGAAACAGAAATTCCAGAACTGAAAAATTCATTGAATGAAATACAAAACAAACTCAAAAAGCTTCAATAATAGACCAGATCAAGCAGAAGAAAGCATTTCAGAACTTGATGAGAGGTCTCTTGAAATCATCTAGTTTGAGGAAAATAAAGACAGGAGAATTTTAAAAGTGAGCAAAAGCTATGTAACATATGAAACACCATAAGCAGACGTATATTTAAACTTTTGTGTTTCAGAAGGCAAAGGGAAAATGAAATGGTTAAAAAAACCTATTTAATGAAATAATAGTTGAAAATTTCTCCAATCTAACAAGAGATTCAGACATTGAGACATAGGAGGCTTGGAGATCCTCAAAGAGATACAATTCAAAAGTTCTTCTCCATAGCACATTATAATCAAGCTATCAAAATTCAAAGACAAAGAAAGAATTCTAAAAAGAGTGTGAGAAAGTGTCTAGTTACTTATAAAGGACCCTCCATCAGATTAACAGCAGATTTCTCTGCAGAAACCTTATGGGCCAGGAGAAAATGTAGGATAAATTCAGAGTGCTGAAAGGAAAAACAAAAACAAAACCAAACAAAATTGCTAACCAAGATACTATACCCAGTAAAGGAGAAGTAAATTAAGGAGAAATAAAGTCTTTCCCAGACAAGCAAAAGCTGAGGGAATTAATCAGCACTAGTCTAGGTCTACAATAAATGCTTAAGGGAGTCCTACAACTAGAATAAAAACAAAAGGTATCTTCTATTATGAAAATAGACAAAAATATGAAACCTACTGGTAAAGTAAATACACAAAGAAAAGATTCAAATGTTACCACTACAGAAGACCACCAAACCACAATGATAAACCATAAGAGTAAGATATACAAAACAAGCAGAAATAAATTAATGAATATCAGAAATAAGCCCTCACATACCAATAATAACCTTGAATGTAAATAGATTAAACATTCCACTTGAAAGGTGCAGACTGGCTGAATGGATGATAAAACAACCCAAGTACATGCTACTTATAAGAAATTAATCTCACCTGTAAAGACATATATATACTTAAAGTAGATGTAAAAGATCTACTGTAAAGTAAAAAGATATTTCATGCAATTGAAAACCAAAAAAGAGCAGAAGTAGCAATACTTATATCAGATAAATCAGACTTTATTCAAAAACGTAAAAAGAAATAAAGAAGGTCATTTTGTAATATAGAGACCAATTCAGCAAGAGGACATAACAATTCTAAACACACTTGAGCCCAACATGAAGGCACCCAGATATATAAAGCAAATATTATTAGATCTAAAGGGAGAGATTAACTCCAATACAGAATCAATATAAAAAAATCAACAGCATTTCTATATATCAATAATGAGCTAACTGAGAAATCAAGAAGGTAATCCCATTTATAATAGCTAAAATAAATAACTAGGAATAAATTCAACCAAGTAGGTGGAAGACCTCTGCAAGATAAACCACAAAACACTGATGAAAGAAACTGAGGTAGATACAAACAAATGGAAATACATCTCATTCTCATGGATTTGAAGAATTTATATGATTAAAATGACCATACTGCCCCAAACAGTATACAGATTCAAGACAATGCCTAGCAAAATACTAACATCTTTTTTCACATAATTAGAAAAAAATGCTTAAAATTTGTATGGCCCCATAAAAGAAGCCAAATAGCCAAAGCAATCCTGAGCAAAAAGAACAAGGCTAGAGGTACCACTCTACCTGACTTCAAAATATATCACAAGGCTATGGTCACCATAACAGCATGATATAGGTATAAAAATAGACACATAAACTAATGGAACAGAATAGAGAACCCAGAAATAAAGCCACATACCTATAGCCTGATTTTCAACAAAGTTGTCATGTGCATATATTGGGGAAAGGAAATGCTCTTCAATAAATGGGGCCAGGAAAATTGGTTTTTCATAACCAGAAGAATGAAACTGGACCTCTGTCTCTCATCATATACAAAAATCAACTCAAGATGAATTAAAGACTTATATATAAGACCACAAAACTGTTCATCTACTAGAGGAAAACATAGGGGTAGTACTTCAGGACATTGATCTAGGCAAACATTATATGGCTAATACCTCAAAAACACAGGCAACAAAAACAAAAATAGACAAATGGGACTATATTAAGCTAAAACTGTAAAGCTTCTTGAAAGCAAAACAAAAGCAATCTATGAAGAGACAACCTGTTAAATGGGATAAAATAACTGCAAACTATTCATCTGACAAAGGCCTAATATCCAGAATATACAAAGAACTCAAACGACTCAACAGTAAAAAAGACAATCCTATTAAAAAAATGAACAAAGGACATAAATACACATTTCTCAAAAGAAGACATACAAATAACCAATAGGTATATGAAAGAATGCTCAACATCACTACCATCAGGGAACTGTAAATCAAACCACAATGATATATCATCTCACCCCAGTTAGAATGGCTAATATTAAAAAGAGAAAACATAAGTGATGAGAATGTGGAAAAAAGAGAAGTCTTTTATACTATTGGTGGGAATGCAAATTTGTATAACCACTATGGAAACAGTATGGAGATTTCTCAAGAATCTAAAAATAGAACTATCATATGATTCAGTAATCCCACTACTGGATATTTATCCCAAGGGAAAGAAATCAATATATCAACAGGATACCTCCACTTGCATGTTTATTGTGGCACTAGTCACAATAAGAAAGATATGGAATCAAACTAAGTGTCCACCAATGAATGAATGGATAAAGAAAATGTGGTATATATACACAATGGAATATTATTCAGCCGTATAAAAGAATAAAATTATGCCACTTGTAGCAACATGTGTAGAACTGTAGGTCCTTATGTTAAGTAAAATGAACCAGCCACAGAAAGACAAATATTGCATGTTCTCACTCATATGTGGAAAATTTAAAAGTTGATCTCATGGAGCTAGAGAATAGAATGATAGATACTAGAGGCTGAGAAGGATGTTTGGGTAGGAGGGGAGATGAAGAGAAGCTGGTTAATGGGCACAAACCCACAGTTAGAAGATATAAGCTTTAATATTCGGTAGCAGAGGAGAATGACTGTAGTTAACAACAATGTATTCTATGTTTCAAAGTAGGAGAAGAGAGGACTTGAAATGTTCCTAACACATAAAAATGGCAAATACTCAAGATGATGGATATCCCAAATGTCCTGACTTAGTCATTACACATTCTGTGCATGTATTAATAACAAAATACCACATCTACTCTATGTAAAATATTATGTATTAATAAAATAATACCAATTGTGTCTCAAAATAAACTTTATTTTTTGAACATGCTTGATTGATTGAGACGGAGTCTAGCTCTGTCAGGCTGGATTGCAGTTGTGCGATCTTGGCTCATTGCAACCTCCGCCTTCTGAGTTCAAGCGATTATCTTGCTTCAGCCTCCTGAGTAGCTGGGACTACAGGTGTGTGCCATCACACCTGGCTAATTTTTGTATTTTTAGTAGAGGTGGGGTTTCACCATGTTGGCCAGGCTGGTTTCGAACTCCTGAGCTCAAGTGTTCCGCCCACCTCGGCCTCCCTAAGTGCTGGGGTTACAGGTATAAGCCACCATGACTGGCCAAGAACACTTTTAGATTTACTAAAATTGTGAGAAAAAATAGTGAAGATGTTACAAAGTTTCCATATGTTCATACCCAGTTTTCTCTGTTATTAACATCTTATATGATTATGTTACATTGGTATAAATAATGAGCCAATATTGATACATTATTAGTAAAGTGCATACTTTATTCAAATTTCCTTAGTTTTTAACCAATGCTTTTTTTTCTGTTCCAGAATTCCATCCAGAATGCCACATTACATTTACTCACCAAAATGCATCTTTTTAAAGATACATATGAAATATTTACCAAAATTGATCATATGCTGGGCTATAAAGAAAGCCACAGAATATTTTATATTTTTTACTTTAATTATTTTCAGCTTTTGTTTTAGATTCAGGGTGTGCATGTACAGGTTTGTTACTTGGGTATATTGTGTATTGCTGAGGTTTGAGGTATGAATGATCTCATCACCCAGGTACTGAGCATAGTACCCAATAGTTAGTTTTTCAGTCTTTGTTATCCTCCCTCCCCCCTCAGTAGTATTCATTTTCTATTACTGCCATTTTAATGTCCAAGAGAACCCAATGTTTAGCTCCCTCTTATAAGTGAGTACACATGGTATTGGGTTTTCTATTCCTTTATTAATTCACTTAAGATAATGGCCTCCAGCTGCATCCATGTTGTTGCAAAGGACATGATTTCATTCTTTTTTATGGTTGCATAGTATTCCATGGTGCATACGTACCACATTTTCTTTATCTAATCCACCATTGATGGATACTTGACTTGATTCCATGTCTTTGCTGTTATGAATAGTGCTGCAAACACACAAGTGCATGTGTCTTTTTGGTAGAATACTCTGTTTTCTTTTGGATGTATACCCAGTAACGGGATTGCTAGATCAAATGGTAGTTATGTTTTAAGTTATTTGAGAAATCTCCAAACTGCTTTCCAAAGTGGCTTAACTAATTTACATTCCTACCAGCAGTATATGAGCTTTCCCTTTTCTCCAGAGCCTTGCCAGCATCCGTTGTCTTTTGACTTTTTAATGATAATCATTCAGACTAGTGTGAGATGGTATCTCATTATGGTTTGATTTGTATTTCTCTGATGATTAGTGATGGGTAGCACGTTTTCATATGTTTTTTGGCCACTTGTATGTCTTCTTTTGAGAAGTGTCTATTCAGGTCTTTTGCCCATTTTTAAAATGCAGTTATTTGTGTTTTTCTTGTTGAGTTGTTTAAGTTCCTTACAGGTTCTGGGTATTACACCTTTGTCAGATGCATAGCTTACAAATATTTTCTCCTACTTGTTTTCTCTGTTAATAGTTTATTTTGCTATAAGAAGATCTTTAGTTTAATTAGGTCCCACTCATCCATTTTTGTTTTTTTTGCCATTGCTTTTGAGGACTTAGTCATAAATTATTTCCCAAGGTTGATGTCCAGAATGGTATTTCCTAGGTTTTCTCTTAGGACTCTTATAGTTTGAGATCTATATCTAAATCTTTAATCCATCTTGAGTTAATTTTTGTGTATGGTGAAAGGTATGGGTCCAGTTTCGTTCTTCTGCATATGAATAGCCAGCTGTCCCAGCGCCATTTATTGAATAGAGATTCCTCTCCCTCTTGCTTATTATTGTTATTTTTTTGACTTTGTTGAAGATCAGATGGTGGTAGGTATATGGCTTTATTTCTGGGTTTTCTATTCTGTTCCATTGGTCTATGTGTTTGTTTTTGTACCAGTATCACACTGTTTTGGTTACTGTAGCCTTATAGTATAGTTTAAAGTCAGGTAATGTGATGCCTCTGGCTTTGTTCTTTTTGTTTAGGATTGCTTTGGCTGTTTGGGTTCCATATGAGTTTTAGAATAGTTTTTTTTTGGTTCCATATGAATTTTAGAATAGTTTTTTTCTAGTTCAATGAAAAATAACATTGGTAGTTTGACAGGGATAGTGTTGAATCTGTAGGTTGCTTTGGGCAATATGGTCACCTTAATGCTTAAGCATACATTCTCTAATCAGAATGGAAATAGCCTAGAAATCAATAAGACAGAGAAAAATACCATATTGTTTGGAAATATAAAAATACATTTTTCAAAAATATTGTTTGTATTTTGTAGTTTCTGGATACAGTATTCTACATATTTCAGTTACATCAACATTTGTTAATTATATTCAAATTATATATTTTTACTACTTGCTACTAAGTAAGTTACTGTGTTAGCTTGGGTCCTCTTAAAATCACACACTGAGGAAAAAATACTTGGGCTCGGGTGGTTTATCTGAGTGGCAACCCTAGATATCACAAGAAGGGAATAGAGAAAGTAAGCCAAGAAAGGTAAGAGTTATCAATAAAGGATATATTATTGAGGTGGTCACCACTCTTGAAAACTAGGGCTTAATGCCATTTGAGACTGTCTAAAAATAATGTGTAGCACATGCCTCAGAATTTTCTCACTGTTGGACAGAATGGCCAAAAAAAAAAAAAAAAAAAAAAAAAAAAAAAATTGCCTGCTATCTCCTGTCTTCCATTAGTTGAGGGTTGTGCCCAGAGGCACGGATCCCTCTGTGTTTCTAGATTGTATTTACAGATGAAGATGAATTTTCTCAAGATTCTAGAGAAAGCTCCCAGGCAGAAAAGCAAGGTGTGTAGGCACCTGATACGGGATGCTGTCAGTTGTATCAAAAACTGTCCAACTCTAGGTGAACTAAAATAGGCTAAGGATGTATTATAATTTCTCATAATGATTGGCAGTTCATTTTCCTTTTCTTCAGAGCCTCTTTCATCACACATTTTAAAGCTATATTTTTAGAAACATTCAAATTTAGTATTATTACACCTTCTTGTAAGTTGACCCTA
Source organism: Homo sapiens (assembly GCF_000001405.40). Lineage (NCBI taxonomy): Eukaryota > Metazoa > Chordata > Mammalia > Primates > Hominidae > Homo > Homo sapiens. Next base: position 156,206,037 of record NC_000006.12, on the reverse strand, counting down.
TTAACATTATGAACTGTTCCTCTTTTTCTGTTGTAATACTTTTGCCTTAAAGTCGATTTTCCCTGCTATGAATGGAGCTAATTTCTTTCGGTTAGTATTGCACAGTATATCTTCTTTTTCAATCTTACTTGTAACTTTGTGTCATTATATTTAAAGTGGTCTCTTGTAAACAGTATGTTAATTTTTAAAATTCGGCCTGACAATCTTTGCCTTTTAATTGGAGTTTTTATTCAATTTATATTTAATGTAATTATTGATATACTTGGTTTTACATGTACCATATTACTACATTTTTATATAACAAATTGTTACTTCTTTTTTCTATTTTTTTGTTTAATCAAATATTTATTTATTACTGTATTTTCCCCATTTCTTATTACCATTTCTTTAGCAGTTATCCTAGAAATTGTGATATGTGTCCTTGACTTAGTATTAGAATCTAATATAAACTAATTTTTTTTTTTTTTTTTACCATTTCCTATATAGTGCAGGGAGGGACTTTAGAATGCTTGAATTCTACAACCTTCCCTCTGCCTCCTATTTGTATTGTATTGTATCTTAAAATGTATATGTATTTAAAATTATTACTATTGTTATTATTTTGTGTAACCAGTATTCATTTAAATTTATCCACATATTTAGCCTTTGTTGCTTCTCATTCTTTCCTGGGTTTCTGTGAAATCATCAGGGATTATTCTTTTCTGACATAAATATATGGCAGTTCTATTAGTAAAGAAAAGTATAAATATTTGTTTGTTTGAGCATTTCTTTATTTATAAATTATTTTTGAAAGATGGTTTCACTGGCTATAGAAATAACAGTGCAGTTATTTTACTTCAGACTTTTCGATATATCATTCTTTTGACTTACATCCTTTCTGTCAGAATTTTTCTGTTACCCTTGATGTCCCTTGTTTGTAACACTTCTTTTCTTTTCTACATAATTTAAGGAATATTTTCTTTTAGTTGGTATTTAGCAGTTTTGTCTTGATATGCCTATGAGTAATTTTCTTTATTTTTGTCTTGCTTGTGATCACAGCAGGACTTGAATCATTGGCTAGATTACTTTTTATCATTATTAAAAGTTTCCTGGTTATTATCTCTGCAATATTTACTTTTACCTCATCCTCCCTCTCCTCCCCTTTTAGACTCAAGTAACTTAGATAATTACTTACATAATTTAAGTCTGGAAGAGAATGTATATTAGTTCTTTATCTTACATATCTTTTGCATTCTTTTCTGTATTTTATATATATATCCTTATTTTTTCTGTGATACTTATAGATATTTTCTTTATAGATATTTTCTTCTAGATATAATATCTTTTTAGAGATTTTCTGTTCGCCTATTTTCCAGTTTACTTATTTTTTAATTATTTGTATAAATTAAATTCACCTATTTATTTGTTAATTTAAAATATGTAACCATCTGCCCTGGAATTTCAATTTTGTTATTTTTCAGATATTTCAGTTCTTTCTTGCAATTCTCTTCTTTTCTATTATTAAATATTAATCAGAGTTATTTAAAGTTCGTTACTGATAACTCTAATATTTGAGTACCTGTGGGCCTCTTTCTTGTCTGGATTTCTCTTAGTCCTGTCTTCTTATATGCACGGTAATTTTTTATTGAATACTTGATATTATGCTTGAAAAATTATAGAGGTTCTGGCTGATGATCTCTCTCTCTACAAAAAGTTTACTTTTGGGCTTCTCAGGTACTTAGAGTAGGGGCAGCTTGCATTAATCCACTCAGGAGCTGAACTAATTTGGGGCGAGAATTCAGTCTTTCTTTATTTTATTTTGTCATTACTTCTGTAGTGTAGACCTTTAAGATTCCAACTATAAGCCTGTAATTATTACCAGGGGCCCCCTCCTTGGTGAGCCATTGATTCCAATTTTTGTCACCATGTCTGTAAATAGTAAAAAAAAAAAAAAAAAAAAAAAAAAAAAAAAAAAATCAGTTTCAGCTTCCCTGCCTTTTGTCCAGTGTGTTTTGTTGCATTTCTCCTCAGTCTCTGAGCTCTGCATCACTTTCAGATTGCCAAATGATTTGAGTGGGAAGGTGTCATAGAATATTGGGATGATATCAATGTAATTTCCTTTTCTTCCACATCTTGACACCTCAAGTGCTGGGAAACTTGATAGTTCTCTGATACTTCATATATATTTTAAATATTTGATTTGCATTCTATTTATTTTTGCTTTTTGTGGGATGGTTAGTATGGTATAAGCTTGTCCATTATAGCTGGAAATAGAAATATTTATGTGTTATCACCAGCTTTTGGTTTCATTGATGTTCTCTATTGCTCTTTCTAGATTTTATTTCATTGATTTACACTCTGATCTTTATTATTTTTTTCCTGGGCTTGCTTTGGGTTTAATTTGCTGTTCTTTTTCTAGTTTCTTAAAGCAGACATTCAATCATTAATCTGAGGGCTTTTTACCCTAAGCATTCAATGCTGTAAACATCTACTTAAACACTGCTTTACCTGGATCCCATACATTTTGATATATTGCATTTTCATTTTCACTCAGCTCAAAATATTTTCTAATTTATCTTGTAACTTCTGCAGTGACTCATGGATTATATAGAAGTGTTCTATTTAATTTCCAAATATTTGGGAATTTTATAGTGATCTTTCTGTCATTGATTTCCAGTTCAATTCAGTTATGTCATAGAACACATTTTATATGGCTTTTACTCTTTTTAAATTGGTTAAGGTTTGTTTTATAGCCCAGAACGTGATCTGTCTTAGTGAATGTCCCACGTGCAATCAGAAAGAATGCGTATTCTGCTGTTGCAGAATGAGTATCAATTAGGCCAAATTGGTTAATAATTTTGTTCATGTCTTCTATATCCTTATTTATTTTCTGTCTGCTTGCTGTATTAACAATTACTAAGGAAGAAGTATTGAAGTCTCCAATTATAATTGTGGATTTTTCTGTTTCCTCTTTCATTTCTATGAGACTTCTTCATAGGTTTCAATTTAAGTTGTTAAATGAATATCTATTTAGGTTTGCTGTGCATTCTTGTTAAGGTGACCCTTTTGCCATTATTTAACGTATCTGCTTATCTCTGGTAATGTTCATTGCTCGAAGTTTACTTTGGCTAATATTAATAGAGCCACTCAATTTTCTTTTCATTTCTGTTTGCATAATGACTTTTTCCATCTTTAAATTTTGAATCCATCTATGTCTTTATATTTTAAATGCATCTCTTACTGGCAGCATTTAGCTGGGTCTTTTAAAAACAGAATATGGCAATTTCCATCTTTCATTTAATGTGTTCAGACCATTTATAATTTTCATTTAGTAACATTCTTGCTAGTGATACAGTTGGAATCTCCTGTTTGTTCTCTGGCTCACTTGTTTTTCCTTTTCCTGCCTTCTTATGGATTATTTGAATTATTGTAATATTCCATCTTAATTTATCTATTCAATTTTAAGCTTCATATTTTCTGGTATTTGCTCTAGGGATTACAATACATATCTAACTTTTCTATTTGTTCAAGTCTAATTTTAAAAATTAATGATTATTTTGAAGTTTTCTTGATATGTGTTTTTAATATTTTACCATTTCAAGTAAAATATAGAATTCTTACAACTATATCAGTCCCTTTACTGTCCCCCATTGATCTTTACATTAAAGTGTCATATGTATTACATCTGCACGCATTGACAAACTCCAGCAGGCAATGTTGTAGTTTTTGCTTTTCAACAAATATATTTTTATCAAAATTGTTCTATTCTATATGAAATTCTACACAAAAAATGTAAGAGGAGGAAAAAAAGTTATTTATATTTATTCAGATGTCTTTCATTTCTGTTGCTCTTGATTTCTGATCATATACATTTCTTTCTGGTGCCGGTGCTGAATTTGGTCTAATTTCAGCCGGGCGCGGTGGCTCACGCCTGCAATCCCAGCACTTTGGGAGGCCAAGATGGGCGGATCACCTGAGGTCAGGAGTTTGAGACCACCCTGGCCAACATGGTAAAACCCTGTCTCTACTAAAAATACAAAAATTAGCTGGGCATGGTGGCGGGTGCCTGTAATACCAGCTACTCGGGAGGCTGAGGAGGAGAAACATAAAGTGTACCAACTTGAACCATTTTTAAGTATAAAGTTCAGTAGTATTAAGTATATTCACACTGTCGTGCAACCAATTTCCAGAACTCTTTTCATCTTGCAAAACTAAAACCATACCCATTAAACAACTCCCTATACTTCCTTCCCCTCAACCCCTGGCAGCCACCGTTCTACTTTTGTTTCTGTGAATTTGATGGCTCTGTATACCTAATGTAAGCAGAATCACACAGTATTTGTCTTTTTGTGACTGGCTGGCTTTTTCACTCAGCATAATGTGCTTCAGATTCATATCTGTAGTAGCATTTCCTTCCTTTTTAAGGCTAAATGATATTCCATTGTATGTATATACCATATTTTGTTTATCCCTTTATCCATCAGTGGATGTTTATGCTGTTTTTTGTTGGCTTGTTTGTTTTTTACCTCTTGGCTGTTGTGCATAATGCCGCTTCATATCCGAAAGTGGAATTGTTGGATCATATGTTAATTCTATTTTTAATTTTTTGAGGAAGCACCATATTGTTTTTCATAGTAGCTGCATCATTTTACATTCCCACCAACAGTGCACTAGGGTTCCAGTTTCTCCACATCCTTGCCAATGCTTGTTTTCTTTTTAAAAAAATTTTTGTTATTTTTTTGAGACAGAGTCTTGCTCTGTCACCCAGGATAGAGTGCAGTGGCATGATCTCGGCTTACTGCAACCTCCACCTCCTGGGTTCAAGCATTTCTCATGCCTCAGTCTCCTGAGTAGATGGGATTACAGGCATGCACCACCACATCAGGCTAATTTTTGTATTTTTAGTAGAGACAGGATTTCACCCTGTTGGCCAGACTGGTCTTGAACTCCTGATCTCAAGTGATCTGCCCAACTCGGCCTCCCAAAGTGCTGGGATTACAGGCATGAGCCACCATGCTTGGCCTGTTTTCTTTTTCTTTTTTAATAGTAGCCATTTTAATGGGTACTAGATGAGGGTTTTCTAATATTTTTGTTTGTATTTTTGTTTTTCTATTCATGGACAATCTTGGTCTATGATATTCCCTTCTTTTACTATCTTTGTGTATTTTTTATCAAAATTGCTCTATTCTATATGAAATAAGTTAAAGAGCCTTACCTTTGTATTCTCCCAAAGTATTGCATTATATACAGCATAAATTTTTCTTACGTATCTGGTGAATCTTTACATTTGAAATGGCTTCTCTGTATGATACATTTATTTTTCTTATTTCTAATTATGATTATTTGTGACATATTTTTAATTCTTGATCAGTCTTACCAATGGCTTGTTAATTTTCAAACAAATTTTCTTTTTGCTGTTTCTCCAGATAAATTATTTTTATTTTATTATCTTTTTATGTCCTCCTTTTAGGTTTATTTTGGGTTTACTTAATTGTTAGTTTTCTAACTTAATTTGAATGCTGAGCTTATTAGTTTTCTATAATGTTTCCTTTATTGATATATAAAGCTGACATTTCCCTACATGTACAGCTTTAGCAGCATTCAACAAGTTTTGATATGAAAAAGTCTTGTTATTTTTGTTGTTCTATTTTAGATATTCTATAAATTCTGCATTATAACCTTTTGATAAACAAATAATTTGATGATTTTAAAGTTATAAATTTATGGTATTTTATTTCTAATTATAATTAACAATGGCCAGGGAAGATTATCTGCATATTAAGGGTTTATAAAGATGAAAATATGTAAAATGTGTATATACTCATATTGTGTGAGTAAAGGCACAGAAAAAAATCTGGAAGTTTATATAACAAAATGTTAATAGCAGTTATTCCAAGTGCTAGAATTTAAAAAGATTTCTCTTTTTCTTTGCATTTTTTATATCTTCTGAATTTGAAACATGAATATGAATTTTTTTTTACTAGAAAACAAAGACATTTATATATAGGGGATAAAAAATAGTTTAGATGAATATGTACTACCTGTATTGAGAACCCATTTCTAATCCTCTGCAGACTTCAGAGTTCAGTATTTACTTACTGAAATACTAAAGAAAAAAAAAACAAAAATAGTTCCCTTGGCATGACTTTTAAAACAAATATTTGATTAATAATAAGTTTTCATCGTATATCTGAAAAGAATTATGAATTCTCTAATCGTGAGTACCTAGAGAATTTCACTCATTTCTTTTGAGCTCCATTTTTGTCTTTAAACATTTATTTATCCACTATTTCGACATGTTTGTAGTTGAGGAATGGAGTCAGATCGATCATGTCATATTATGAAACCTAAAGGTTTATGTTTTGTCTGTTTGATTAATGTATTTAAATTTGAACCAGATTATTGCATCCTCAAGGACAGAGATCAGGCTTGATTATTTATGTGTTTTAAATTTTTAGGCACAGGACCTAGCCTATGTAGAACCCTTTAAAATGTTTCATTAATGGGCAAATTTTGAAATAGACATTTCAAAACTTAAGACAGGAGATATTTACAGAAATGCCTTCTTTGGTTAACTTCTCTTTGAACTTAAAGTAAATTTCTTGAGGACAAAAACTGTGTCTTGGACACTGTTAGATCTTTTGCACATTGCGTGGCACGTGGTAGTGACTCAGTGAATGTTTGTTCCACGGCATCTTCTTGTTTGCAGAGAGATCTCAGGTTGTCAATATTTGCTTTCTAGTTGGCAGTCCAACCTGTAAATCAGAATTATATCGGATTACGCTTCTCTTTTTCTATTCTCATCTCTCCTGCAACACTCTTTTTCACCTATCCCAAATCAATAAGTAGGAAGAATTCTTTCAACCTGGGCTCAAATGAACCAGAAAGGGTTGGATTTTTTTTTTTTTTGGTGTTTTACATTGGAAATAAATAAAATCACTCATATATCTTCCTGTTTTCTCTTTCTTATCCCCTACAGCACAGCATGCCTTGGGACTGCCCCGGCAACTCAGAAAGGGGGCATACCGCCAATCTAGTTCTTCTCAGTATTCCCACTTTAACTTCAATTTACACTTTCATGGGCTCTTGAACTTCTTGTTTTCCAAGCTTTGCTTTAAGGCCCACTTCTGCAAAAAACATTTTTATGAATCAGTAGAAGACCCTAGAAGTTTCCCTACATTAATAATTTCTTACTCTTAGATTTTGACAGTGTGCTGACAAAGACAATTTTTGTGTTTTAGTAGCATTTGCTCAAGGCAGGTTGATAGTTGATACATATGACTTCTGCTACACTCTAGCTGAGTGACACATGGGTAGAATGAAGGAATACTGTACTTTGTTTTGGTGGTCCTTATGCTTGATGAATGCAATCATTTGTATTTTTTTTTGGTTCTGACTTTCACATATGGTTTTATCACATTTTGTGGACTTCATTGTGACTAATGATTTCCTCCAATATTTATGTATTTCCCCAGTATACAGATCTGTGTTCACATACATACTGACTCTAGTGTCCTCAGATCTATGCCCAGGAGATGAGCAGTATTTTGGTATTTCAATGGGTAAGTTCCCTCAGAAGGGGTACAAGAGATACCTAGCCAACATTAGCTCTGCAGTGAGCCAGAAATGTGCTTTCATATACGTGTAGTATACGTCCATTTGAGGTTCCTTTTTGGCAACAGATGTAAACAGTTTTGTATTTCTAGTAAAAATAGTTCGTTCTTGTTTTAAAAACTAAGAAAGTACAGAAAATATAAAGGAAGAAAAAGAAGAAGTCCTCTTAAATTCTAATACTTGGAGATAACCATTAATATTTTGAGATACATTCTTCCAGAATTTTTTCTTCTTAGCTTAGCATTCACTCACTCAAACACAGTGTATGAGTACACACACACACACACACACACACACACACACACATACATACATAAATATATACACATGTATTCATAGACTTACTGCATTTACAAAAAATGTGATCATAGTATGCAGTGATTTTAATCTGTTTCTTCCCACTAAGATGTTTCCTACTTCTGAATCAATGTGCCTCTGTTTAAGCAACTATTTTACCATTTGGCTCATTTACTATCAAACCCTGTTTCTCTTCTAAGGCTTTTCTGTGTTTATTGTATACTATTTTGTAACACCTCTTTGCTAAGGGTGTTACAAGATGCAGTGTGTAATTGTTTTAAATGAAAACCTCCAAAATAGGTAATAGAAATATGAAAACAAGTGAGAAAGAAAGCCAGCATGTAAAAATCAAGAAAGGAGGAAGAGACCATATGTAGCACGGGAAGTGGGGTTTGCATCATGTTCTTTGAAAATCACAGGATCTCACTTCCTTTGGTTCTCAAACAAACAAAAAGTTAGCTGACTTAACTCTGTATGTGTTGCCTCATGAGGCGATAATATATTCTCCTCATATGAACTCCCCCAATGCTGGAAGGATTGCTGCCTGCACATGCAATGGCTTGAATCTGCCCCTCCTGGCCTTGCCACCCTTTTATTTCTTCCCATGAATGCTAAGGCACACTATTTCAATGCTAATCTACATGACTTTCAAATTGTTCAAAATATTTTTTTGATGTTTCAAAGGCTGAAACTCCTTGGCAAACTATAAATCTTAATGGAAACCAATGTTCTGCTGAAGAGAATGCATCAATGCAAGTTAGCTACCTCACTAGAAATAAAACAGAAAATTAGCAGTGAAAGCAATTTGAATGTAGACTTTATGCTGAGAAATAAAGCAAAAGAATAAAATTGCCACAGTATATTTTAGAAGGTCCTGAACACAACAAACTCTCTTAAAAAGACAATAAAGCTGCTGGAGCAAAAAGCAATGATGTGGTCACACACACACACACACACACACACACACACACACACACAAGCTGATTGGACAGAGAAAGAGCTCAATATTCAATCAATATTCAGCAAGAATACAGGGGTAAGGTGGGGGAGTGTCATAATTGTGTTTCACTGAGCATATCATAGGAGGATTCTGAATCTATGTTTCTCAGCAGTAAAGTGGAGAAGAGATCTGCCTTTGTTCTCTTTACAGGGAATGGCTTATTCCACAACGATACCAAGTGAAGAGCTCTGGAACACCTTGGTGTGCCCTAGAAGGAGCTATATAAATTCACAAAGCAGTACACATTCTCTTAATTGGCATGCACAAAGCTGACTCATCCAATTAACCAATGCTCTTAACTCTTTCTGTAAAACATACTGACTGAGCCCCCGCCCCGCCCCCACCCACAGTAGGCTACTCTTCAGTTTACCACCCACACAGATCTAAAAAGTCCGCTGGGTTTATAGTAGTTGAATTTACTATTTTAATAGTACATCTCAATTAAACTATGTTATATCATGAAACATAACTGTGAGAAGAGTTTATATGTCTGTGAAACCAAAGTTAAATGTTACATATTTAACTTTGATAAAGTTATAAAATATTCCTGTTGTTTCAGGTGTGAATAAGATGACTATAAGATATTAGGAAAATTGTGAGCTCACCCCACTACCCATATTGTTTCTCAGGGATACTTACATTCTGTCAACTTTAAAGAAACTGAAATTAGAAGTTATAGACATTGCATTATAAGTGTGATTTATGCAAAAACAAACAAACAAGATGGCATGAAACTCTAAACACTGATCACCCATCTGAAAGTGAAAATTAACTAATGAAAAGATTGGTGAATGAATATTTTCAATGAAAACAAGATTTTAAAATCATATATATTTCACATGTATATGTAATTTTAAAACTGGTTATCTGATTTAATGAACTATTTTGATTAAGGACTGTGGTATTCTATAGTATTTCATTAAGTTTCCTGTGTGGGTCACCTATGAAACAGACGGGTTTTTCAGAGCAGTCCCTACAATACTGTTTCCATTCCTAAGGCTAAATTCTTAGCTTGGTATAGACAGGGACAGTGAGCCCTCAGTTTTGATTCACACTAGTATATACATATAGAGAGAGGCCCTGCTATACCTGCAGGAGTTGTTTCAACGTTTAAAAATGCCATATCTGCTAGGCACGGTGGCCCACATCTATAATCCTGACACTTTGGGAGGCTGAGGCGGGCAGATTACTTGAGCCTAGGAGTTTGAGACCAGCCTGGGCAAAATGACCAAAAAGAAAAAAAAGTTGCCAGGCATGGTGGTACACGTCTGTAGATCCAGCTACTCAGGAGGCTGAGGTGAGAGGATCGCTTGAACTGAGGAGGTGGAGGCTGCAGTGAAACATGATTGTGCTACTGCACTCCAACCTGGGCAACAACAAGACTGCCTCAAAAAAAAAAAAAAAAAATGAATAAAGGAGAAAAAGGCCACTTCAGAAATGAAGACTAAATTATACAGAACAAAATAAAATACTCACAGTTTGAAGAATGATTAGGAACATAAAGGTTAGAATTGAGATAATAAGAAAATATTTAAAAATATTTTAAAAATGGATATAGAAAAAATGATATGGAGGAGAGGCAAAGGAAATGTAACATTTCTGTAATTGCAATTCCCAAAGAAGAAAATGAACACATTGGAACAAAGCAAACATTTAAACTACAACTCATGACACCTTTCTTGAAATAAGATTTAAATGTATATATTAAAAGTGAAAATTGACCCCAAACTGTGAACACTGACCCATTACAATATTTGATTTTGAAAATGAAACAAGTATCTTTATAACAGCCAGGCAAAAACGAAGTTCTTTTGAAAGAAAAGTTATGCTTTGATTTGAATGTTGGTCCCCTCCCAAACTCATGTTGAAATTTAATTGCCATTGTAACAATATTAAGAGGTGATACCTTTAAGAGGCAATTAGATCATGAAGACTCTGTCCTCATGAGTGGGTCAATGCTGTTATCATGGAAGTGGCTCCCTTACTGTGGGAGTAAGTTCCTTAAAAAGGACAAGTTCAGTCCCCTTTTGTCTTTCTCTTTGCCCTTTCCCTGTGTGATGCTTTCCGCATGTTATGGCACAGTGAGAACACCCTCTCTAGGTGCTGGTGCATTGATTTGGGGCTTTCCAGCCTCCAGAACTATGAGAAATAATTTCTATTCTTTATAAATTACCCAATGCGTGGTATTCAGTTATACCTGCACAAACCAGACCAATGTCATCATCGAGCTTCTCAACAGCAATGCCTAATGGCAGAAGCCATGGAACTACCTACGAGATACCCAAGGGTAAAAAAAGGATGCGCCCAAAACCTTGTATGAAGCTAAGTTGCTCCTCAGTTTTTGATACGGTTTGGCTGTGTCTCCACCCAAACCTCATCTTGAATTGTAGCTCCCATAATCCCCACATGTCATGGGAAGGACCTGGTGGGAGGTAATTGAATCATGAGGATGGGTTTTTCCTGTGCTATTCTCATGATAGTGAACAAGTCTCATGAGATCTGATGGTTTTATAAAGGGCAGTTCCCCTACACACACTCTCTTGTCTGCCGCCATGTAAGACGTGCCTTTGCCCCTCCTTTGCCTTCTGCCATGATTGTGAGGCCTCCCTAGCCGTGTGGAACTGTGAGTCCTTTAAGCCTCTTTCTCTTTGTAAATTGCCCAACCTTGGGTATTTCTTTATAGCGGTACAAAAATGGACTAATACAATTATAAAGGATGCAGACAAATTGTTTTGATCATATCTTGATGGTAAATTCACTAGAGAATGACCTTTGGCCAACAAGGAGGACATAGGGAAAGTTGTAGGAAAAAGACTAGTGATGAATATTATATATATATTCAACTTTGAAATTCAGATTAAATGAAAGTTATAAATAAGCATGACAGAATGATATGTACATTGTAGATGCTCTGAAAATGTAGGAATAATATACCAACAGAAATGGAAGAATGGGAGCTGGGTGCGGTAGCTCACGCCTGTAATCCCAGCACTTTGGGAGACTGAGGTGGGTGGATCATGAGGTCAAGAAATTAAGACCATCCTGGCCAACATGGTGAAACCCCATCTCTAGTAAAAATACAAAAATTAAGTGGGCCTGGTGGTGCGCACCTGTAGTCCCAGCTACTCAGGAGGCTGAGGCAGGAGAATCACTTGAACCAAGGAGGCAGAGGTTGCAGTGAGCCAAGATCACGCCACTGCACTCCAGCCTGGCGACAGAGCAAGATTCCATTTCAAAAAATAAAATAAAAAGAAATAGAAGAATGGGTAGCAAATGTGGAAAGTAGTCTAAGATCATTGCTTGCCACATAGGTAATAGCCATAAGTTATCTTTTAAAGCTGACAAATCAGTTGGTAAAATTTTAGCTTATTTATCTATGAAGAACTTAAATTTACAAGAAAAAAAAACCCATTAAAAAGTGGGCCAGGTAAATGAACAGACACTTTTCAAAAGAAGACGTACATGTGGTCAATAAGCATATGAAAAAAAGCTCAACATCACTGATCATTAGAGAAATGCAAATCGAAACCACAGTGAGATACTATCTCACACCAGTCAGAATGGCTTTTATTCAAAAGTCAAACAAATAACAGATACTAGCAAGGTTGTGGCGAAAAAGGAATACTTCTGCACTGTTGGTTGGAGTATAAATTAGTTCAGCCACTGACGAAAGCAGTGTGGTGCTTCCTCAAAGAGCTAAAAACAGAACTACCATTCAACATAGCAATCCCATCACTGAGTGTACACCCAGAAGAATATAAATCATTCTATCCTAAAGACACACACACGTATATGTTCATTGCAGCACTATTCACAATAGCAAAGACATGGAATCAACCTAAATGTCCATCAATGGTAGAATACATAAAGAAAATGTGGTACATATACACCATGGAATACTATGCAGCCATAAAAAGGAATGGGATCATCTCCTTTTCAGGAATATGGATGGAACTGTAGGCCACTATCCTTAGCATTCTAATGCAGGAACAGAAAACCAAACATTGCATGTTCTCACTTACAAGTGGGAGCTAAATGATGAGAACACAGACATATAGAGGGGAACAACAGGCACTGGGGCCTACCTGAGGGAGGAGGGTGGGAGGAGGGAGAGGGTTAGGAAAAATAAGAAATGGTTACTAGGCTTAATACCTGGATGATAAAATAATCGGCACAGCAAACCCCCATGACATGCAGTTTACCTATATTAAAAACCTGCACATGTACCCCTAAACTTAAAAGCAAAGGAAAAAAAAGAAAAATATCCGTAAATGTTAAAAAAAATTTTAGCTTATTTAATACTACAAAGGCAAATATAAAAGGCAGTAACTGTATTTTTAAAAATTAGGTCATGAAGGAAAAGGAAGAGCTTCCAAACTGTTGTTTATAATAGGAAACTAGTACATAATGTTTAAAGAAAAGATGGAATTAAAGACATTATATAAAAATTAATATAAAATTAACTCCAAGAACGAAACAGATAACTTTCTAAGTATTAGAATAATAACCAAAAATAGAAAACAAAATAGAGCAAAAATATCGCAGATCACATTGTGAAAATTATGTATACATATACATATATGTGAACATAGTATGAGTTAATATTACAGACTAGAGACCATACATATCTGCTGTATGAATAAATAAAAATAAACTTAGCTGTTAATAGAAATTTCAGGCTGGATTACCAAGTACATACAATTCTCTATGCTGTATACAAAAGAAACATCTAAAAGTGTTTAAGAAAAGCTGAACAAAAGGATGGAAAAAGTTATACTAGGAAAATGCAAACAAAAAGAGACAGAACTGGAGGTCACAATCTTAATGTTAAACAAGGTGAGATTCAGGCCAAAGAGCATTAATAATGACAGACATGAAACTTTATAACGCTGAAGGCTATAATTCACTCAAGATGCAATATTTAAGAATATCTATATAGCAAATTACAGTGGGAACTTTCATGAAATAGAAACCACAGCAGATAGAAGAAACTCACTAATAACTGGAGGTTATGACTAACCTTTCTCAGTACAAGTCACATCAAGTGGTTTAAAGGAAACACAAAAAAAGCAAGGACAGAGAAGACCTAAGCAACCTTTTTAGTTACTTCCTGCGGATATATATCAAACGAACACCCTGGCTCCAACTTTTAAAGAGCCCATAGATCTTTCATACAAATTGATCACATATTAATCATACCACAAAGAAAATTTCAATAAATTCTAATGAAGTAGACATAGGGGCAGCAAAATTATCTGAAAGCAATACAATGAAATTATAGTTCAATACAGAGCAAGGCCTTTTCACTTGGAAATAACAAAAATGTTAAAAACAATTCTTGGGTCAAAGAAGAAATATAAATCAAAATACAAAATTTAATAATGATGAAAACATATATCAGAATTTTGCAATATAACTATATCATTGCTAAGAAAAAAGTTATAGCCTGAAATATCTTTATCAATAAAAAATGAAACAATGAAAATAAACTAATTAGATATATGACTCAAAAAGCTGGAGAAGAGAACAAGAGGATGTCATTAATAAAATTAAAAAGCATATGTTTTTTAGTTAGAATACATTACTTCAATATCCTTCCTTTCCTTTCCTTTCCTTTTCCTTTCCTTTCCTTTCCTTTCCTTTCCTTTTCCTTTCCTTTCCTTTCCTTTCCTTTCCTTTCCTTTCCTTTCCTTTCCTTTCCTTTCCTTTCCTTTCCTTTCTCCTTTCCTTTCCTTTCCTTTCCTTTCCTTTTTTTTTTTTTTTTTTTGAGACAGGGTCTTGCTATCATCCAGACTGGAGTGCAGTGCAGTGGCACCATCCTGGCTCTCTGCAGCCTCAACCTCCGAGCTCAAGCGATCCTCCCACCTCAGCCTGCCGAGGAGCTGGGACCACAGGCATGTGCCATCATGCCCAGCTAATTTTTTTTGTTTGTTTGTAGAGGTGGGGTCTCCCTATGTTACCCAGGCTGATCTCGCACTCCTGAGCTCAAGAGATCCTTCTGCCTCAGGCTCCCAAACTGTTGGGATTACAGGCCTTCATTGCTTCAATATCTCTTATAAGGAAAGACTGAAAACAGCACAAGTACAGAGAACCAAGCATGTGGTTGATTCTACATCCACCCAGTGTGACACCATGCAGCTGTCAAACATGAAGGAGGACAGTATCTAGGTACTAATGTGGAATGATATTGTCAAATGAAAAAGCTAAGGTGCAGAGTGGTGTAATATGAAAGAGAAGAAAATAAAATTACATGTTCCCACACTAGTTTTTGCATAAAGAAACCTTGGAGGGACCAAGGAGAAATGAACACAGATGATTTCTTGCAGGGGTAGATGACAGCACAAGGTGAAGAAGGCCGGGGGTGTTTCGTATTCTATGCATTTTTAAATGTTTTCATTTTGGGAACATTTTAATATAGCAAAAAACAACAATCTGCACAAAACACGAGAAGATAACAAAATATTTTTCTAACTATTGATATGGGAAAATAAAGAAGAGATGGTTAAGAGTTTGATACCATGGCCACCACTAAACTTTTGGCTGGTGGGCGCAGAGAGGAGAGACATCAATACGATGAAAGGAACCAAGCTGCTCTCTTGACAAGTTGAGTGGTCAGGCAACAGATGCTGCTCCACGCTGGGCCTCCTGCCAAGAGTGGAGTTGTGCTCCTGGTGGGGACAACAGGCTTCCGTCACCCTCACCTGCCTGTGTTGTTGCATGTCACAGAGAGAGGGATGCGAGGTGGGCTCCTGCTGCTCACTGCTTTTCCTGCGTGTTTCTCAGCCTGACAAAGATCAGGTTCCCAATGGGGATGGAGATGGGGGCCAGGAGTTTGCTGAACATTTATTTCATTATTTGAATGTCCATGGGCAATACATGGACGAATATATTGTCTACGTAAATACATTCACCCACATGCCTTAGGAAGAAACGTTAATCATAGACTGGTGGCTTTTCTCTCTTAGAGATTTGAATCTCTTCTTCACATAGTAGGACACAGAATATCAAGGAACTCATAAAGCTCTTGAAATGGATATTTACACTTATTTAAGAGTCTTAACAGATTTAATCCAAATAGAGTTAAAAAAAAAAAAAAAGACTTGCCTGAGACTGCAACTATAAATGCCAAGTTTCAATCCAGACAAAATTTTTTATAGCTGGGCTGGCAGGTCTTTACAGACATCTTGTCAAAACAGAAACCATCAAGAACAAGCCAAAACAAAATCCTACCTGCCTTACTGCCTGTGCCTCTGGGTGTAGAAATGAAGAGAAATAGCAATATTGCACAATTAGAAAATAGAGCTCCTGGGCAGGGTTGGTGTATCTTCCTGACTCTCCTTCTTTCCTTCCTTCCATCTGGGAAGACAGGCTTTAGTAAGGCTACAGAAAGAGTAGTCATTTTGTGGACATAAAATACTGGATCAAGGTTTTTAAGGAGAGGTGATTCATATTAAGAAAAAAAAAATTTATCCTGTGAAATCTTCACTCTGGACCATCTTAATGATATGAATCATTGTTTAGCATCCTTCTGTGGGGAGGGTGAAGTAGAATCACAGAGTATTTGGTGGGGATTCGTGCTGAGTAGAGAGAGAGAGATTAGAGATCAAAGGGAATCCCATCATACCAATCTCAGGTAGACTCATCTCTGATGGAGAGTAAAGGACTGGTTTGCTCTTTATGCTAGACCTTGCTTGTTTGTTGATGTACTCACAAAACAAATCACTGTGTGGAGACTGTCTTGGTGGAAGACCAAAGGCGTAATTTACATGACAACAGACTCCTCCTCCATTTACTCCACAAGTCAGGAAGCCTTGGTCTCTGGACTGTAACAGCTGTTTTTTTGAGAGAGAAAGAGCAGACTAAAATAAGTGTCCATCAAAAGAATTTGTTTTGGGGTGTGGAAAGCAAAAAACAAAACAAAACAAAAAATACTTCCTAAGTTTTGATAGACTTGTTTGGGAGGTACATTTACCATTAAAATTTTTCTTAAATCCTTTCTAGACTAAAGCATAAAATAGAAGCTTAAAATTCTTAATAGTATTCCTCAGTTTCTCTCACAGTATCTCCTCCAAACAAATGAAAAAAACACATAGAAAATAGAGTGGTATGGAAAGGTATTTTAGTTACCGAGGGTACACCATGGAGGGTCGGGGTCAGAGTTCCCTGACTCAACCTGCTCTGTCACCTTCAAAGAATCATCTCTCTCTCAATGGAAACAGCACAACTCTTTGTTCTGGTTGCACTTTTTTGGTGTGGAGTCCTTTGGGAAAAGAATTTCCCCTCCTCATGATGCCTGCTGCTGCCCACCTCTCACCCACCTTCTTCCCCTCTCCTGGCTGGTGTCTGTCCACCAGTCTAGACATAGCAGTGATAGGTGCCTCAAGCCTGCAGATTTCTACCCAAATACGAAATTGACTTGAGAAATCTCCTCTTCCTTTCTCCTCCTGCTAAATGCCTGGTGTCTAATATCTGATTCCCTCCTCTTGATTTGTCACCCCCAGTACTCATGTGAAAACCTCACTTGTGTGATGAGAACAAACCTTCCTATCTGGTGTTTTCTCCTCCTGATAGATTCCCTCTCAACTTAGCTGTTTCCCTATATCCCCGGAGCCTTTGGGGGACATGGATTATCAAAACTATAACCCTCCTCATGCACTTAGAAAGAAAAAACACAGTAGCTACAAACAAACCAGGGAGACCTGGGAATTAAAAACAAATCGACTGACAAGTGGCAGTTCTGTTGGGATAAAAAAAAAAGTGGAAAAAAAGTTTCACTCTTTTAATTCAACAAGCCCAGCTGTGGTTATTTTGAAAGTCACTGACCGCTCTGACTGCAAAAGCAGTGTAGACCAAACTAAATTATTATTCCCTTCCTGTTGAGTTTTTTTTTTTTGTTGAAGTTTCTAGAACTCAACTCTGATGGTAAAACAGCAACTACAAATAACATTCTTTCCTCTTTAGTAAGGTGGTAGCATTCATTATGAGATGACTTTTTTTTTTTCCTAAAGAAACTCTAGCACCTTCATCCTCCAGGAGCAAATGTTAGCATAGCTGAGATGGGGAAATTTCTGAGGGAAGACTCTGAATTTTTTTTCTCTTTGGAATTTCTGTTAATGATAGGGCCAAACACAGTGCTAGCTCAGACCTTATAGAGCTAAATGGGCTCTATCCCAGTTGCTTTTTAATTCCCTTTTGAATACAGGCTGTGAGAAGAATTTATGTCCTATAATGATTCATATATAAGATATAAAAGCAGCCTTTCATTTTTGTTTCGACTCCCTCCCAAATCCACTATCTACAGTTCTACCACAGGAATCTTTTAAATCACAAATCAGGCTACTGTCCTTCCCCTATTTATAACCTTCAAAGACTTCCCATCATCTATAGCAAAGATGGCAAGGACATTTCATCTTGCATTCTGATGGACTGAAATTGACTTCCTAGAGTGCCATGCTAAAAGGACTTGGGGAGGCATCTGAGTTCTGTGGGAATGCTGTGATCAGTTAGCCATGTCTGCCATGGACACGGAAAGGGGGAGTGGTGACAGGTATGTCATGCTTAGAGCACGTGATGGAATCTTTGCCGAGCCATACATGTCCCTTAGTTTCTTACGAGGGTATATTTGTCTCTAGGCTTTTGCACTGAACTGTTCCTCTACCTGACTCATTCTCTTTCCAACTTATTTCTTCAGTTTGGTTTTATTTGAATTTCAAGATTGAGTGAAGATTCATCTCCCTAGAGATTTTTTTTTCCTGCTCTTTGACTGTAGACCAGGTACTATGCTTATGTGCTACCATTGCAGACTGTTGTTGCATCCATCATTGTACTTAACCCACTGTATTATAATTACCTATGCAGGTACCTGCTTCCTCTATGAAACTATAATGTCTCTGAGGGCAGAAGTATATTTAATTTTCTCATTAATTACCTAGCATAGTGCCCAAGGTCTTAGCTAGCGTGTAATAATTTTTTACTGAAAAAAAAGTGGATAAGTGAATGAAAAACAGCGTATTTCCTACAGGTGTGAAAAATAAAATAGAACTTACTGGTCTGTGCATTTTGTAATAATTGTGTAAGCAAATGTTAAATAATTATTAAAAAACAACAAAGAATACTGTTGGATAATTTTAGTAATTTTTTTCATTTGTTGCCATGCATTCATTTCATACCGCAGGGGAAAGAAAAATATATTTCCTCACCCATCACTAGGTTCATAGCTGAAGACTCTACAACAAAAGACAGATTAACAAGAGAAAACATGTGCATTAATTTAATAAGTTTTATGTGCCAGGGGAGCCTCTATAAGAAAATGAAGGTCCAAAGAAACAGGTAAACTGTGTATTTTTATGCTTAGTTTTGAAGAGTGGACAGTCATGAAGAAATGTGATTGGAAGACGAAAGGATATGATGTAGTGGAAATAAACTGGATGAAACTTAGGCCTGTTTGTTCAGATTTCTCTGTGCCTCCGTGTCTTCAGAGATAAGGATGTTCCTTTCCTCCAGGTGTGGGGAGGGCACCTCTTGAATGAGTGTTTTATGGCCTGCTTAAGGGGAGAAGGGCAAGGAGGTGAGTGTGACCTTCATTCTACTGTTTCCACAAATGCCAATGTGCCATATTTAGGGGTATCGTGTCCTGAAACCTGTTAGTACATTGATTTAGGGTTAAATTCATGGTTGTTTTTTCACAACATTCCTAGATTGTTTTGGTGAAAGCCTGCTATTTTTCATGCATTTTACTGTTTCTCAAAATGACATTCAAATCTTTTTTTTTTTTTTTTTTTTTTTTTTGAGACGGAGTCTCGCTCTGTCGCCCAGGCTGGAGTGCAGTGGCGGGATCTCAGCTCACTGCAAGCTCCGCCTCCCGGGTTCACGCCATTCTCCTGCCTCAGCCTCCCAAGTAGCTGGGACTACAGGCGCCCGCCACTACGCCCGGCTAATTTTTTGTATTTTTAGTAGAGACGGGGTTTCACCGTTTTAGCGGGGATGGTCTCGATCTCCTGACCTCGTGATCCGCCCGCCTCGGCCTCCCAAAGTGCTGGGATTACAGGCGTGAGCCACCGCGCCCGGCCTCAAATCTTTATCTACATATATATATATACATACACACACACACACACACACACACACACACACATATATGTATAAACAAAAATATAGTTTGTTTACCACATGTCCTTAGATATGTAGTAAGTGGAATAAAATCTGAATTTTCAGAGCTCTCTACTATATTTATTCACTCATCAAATATTTACTGAGCATCTACTATGTTCAATGTGCAGGGAATACAGTGGCAAAAATAAACAGTATACACAGCCTGGTACAGCTGAAAGCCTGACTTGCTCCATCTCGGAATTTTCCCTGTTTGGGTGGGTTGACTAGCTCCCAGTTACTTTGGACCCATCCTATTCAGAAAGAGACTCCAGGCTGGATGTGGTGGCTCACGCCTGTAATCCCAAACTTTGGGAGGCTGAGGTGGGCAGATCACCTGAGATCAGAAGTTCAAGACCAGCCTGGCCAACATAGTGAAACCCCATCTCTACTAGAAATACAAAATTAGCCAGGCGTGGTGGCGTGCACCTATAATCCCAGCTACTTGAGAGGCTGAGGCAGGAGAATAACTTGAAACTGCATGGTGGGGAGTTTGCAGTGAGCTGAGATCACGCCACTGCACTCCAGCCTAGGAGACAAGAGTGAAACTCTGTCTCAAAAAAAAAAAAAAAAAAAAGTCCAAACAAGATTTCACCCTGAGAGTGAAAGCTCCCTTCTACTTCAGAGCTGAAGCAAGCAGAGGGTGCTGGGTATGTAGGAGCATCTGTGGCTGCAATCAGTTAAAATGGGTGTTTGAGGGTTCTGGACGACTACACACCTTGTTGAGATGCACCTGCTCTGGCAGTAACATTAGCAATTATTTAGACCCGTTCTGCTTTTCACTTATAGCTTCTAAATGGCTTCAGAGGAAACCACTCCCACATTTCAGGAGACAGAAATTGATCCCTTGATCTGGGCCAGGAAGAAAGAAAGAGAAAGAGAAGGTTAGAAGTGCCCCAAATTAAGCTAAATCAAATTCTTTAAATGTTAAATTAAATCACCAAGAAAATGAGTTCCAAAGGAAAAGGAAAGGCATAAACTTTTATTTCCTTAAAAAGATAGTCCCTTGCTTAACAACTGAATAGTTTTCACTGTTTTCCTCATCTGAAAGGCATTTGAGCAGTTTTAAAATTGTAATGACTTAATAAAGGAGATGCCTCAGATTGGAGAGAGGTTTCATCTTCAGAACTTCTCTTGCCCCAATTTTGTCTTATCCAGAGTACTTAATCTAAGAGTAGGGGGGTAAATCCTCAACTATAGTTATTTTGTGACAATAATTTCAGTATTTGCATTTTTACCATTCGTCTTCTAAATAACTTTTTGAACAAGGTTCTTATGCTCTTTTTAGGGATGAAGAAATGAGGGATTGGAAGGTTGTGCTATTTGCCCAAGTGGCCCAACCTGAGGAATGGGGTGCTTGCCAGGACTTTAAGCCCTGGGTGCATCCTAGGACCCTGCTGCCCTACAAGGCATGCCCTGGGTCAGCTCCCAGGACCCACTCTGCCCCATGTCCTTCTCTCCCAGGAATTTTACTGGGGACCAAGAAGGTGATAGAAGTTGTGAAAAGCATAACCTAAGAATGATAGAGCCGTGTTCCGGTTAAGAGCAAGCAAAGGAAAATTAGGAGGGCAGTAGGAGAAGAAGATAGAAAGACAGGTTGGGTCTAAAATTTTAAAGTGCCCCAAATGCTAGGCAAAGGAGATTTCCTTACTTCATTAGGCGAGAAGGAGCCATTAAGGGTTTTTGGACAAGATGAAATAACAGGAAAATTAATGTAGTGTGTAATGGATTAGATAAAATAACAGATTTAGAGTCAGGGAGAAGAGCTAGGACAGAAGATGCAATCATCCAAGCAAGAAGTCCTACTTAGTGTGAACTTGGAAAAGAGTGCAGTAAACAAGGCTGTGATTTAATATTAGAGACACACATTTTTACTAATCACATCTAAATTCTAGCAATGTGTAAAAGACTAGAGGTAGGAAACAAACACAGAGTTATTTAAAAAGCTTGCAGTAGGATGGTAGGAAATCACCATGGGAGCAATATGTGGAAGTCCTGTAGGTGTTATAGAAAGACTAGGAGAGATGAGAAGGAGGACATTTGGGAGGTGCATTGTAACTGAACATGGCTTCCCAAGTAACATTTCAGCCAGGGATAACAAAGGCACAGTCGTCAGGATCTGAGGATGGATGAGTCAGACTTTGGTAGAGAAAAAAAGCAAAGAACACTGGTGGTGTTCAGCACACATGGCTAAGGAAGGTGATGTGCAAATAACAACTAAATGGCGGGAGAACTCTTTAGGGGAAGATGTGTTTGCTTTGCGGAAGAATCCCATTTTAAAGTTCCACCTAGTCATCTTGGTAGATATGTCTAGTTGCCTGTTAGACACATAAAATTAGGGTTTTAGGAAGAGTCCAGAGCTGACACTATTGATCCAGGACCCATTCTCTCAGAGGTGACTATGGGAGCCATGGCCATCACCATGGCTACAGAAGCAATGATTGGATTACTGTGTTAGTTTGTATAATAGGATTGACCAAGGAAGAGTCAATCTTGTAAACTTGAGGCAGTGGAAATTTGAATCAGGTGAATTTTTTAAAATTGAAGAGGATTCACAACTTAGCTTATAAAAAATAGGACTCTACACACCGCTTTACTTTGTCTATGAAGCTCCATGACAGAGCATATGGCTGAGAAACCATATAGAATGCTCTAGAATAAAAACTAGAAAAAGAAAAAAAAAAGATCTGCGTAGAGCTTTTAAACCAAATTATAAGAAAAGAGAAGTTTGGAAATTGTAAGCTAAAGTCCGATCAGGTGGCACACGTTATTGTTCAGGGGTTATACCAAAAGTCATGGTCAGAAATGGAAAAGGGTTAGTCCAGAAAGGCCCATTTCTGGCAGAGGAGAAGGACTTGTGTAGTGAGATGTACTTTTCATGGGCGTGTTAGACTCTGCTTCCTTGAGAGTTTCAGGAGTATTATTTCCACTACGTAGGAGACAGCATTGTATTTTTGCCTTCATTTCAAACAAAGCTCACCTTTGGTTTGTAGGTGAGCTCCTGCCTGCTGGAGAACCCTACCCAAGTCTGGATTTTATTTGTCTGTTACTTAATCAATTTACTTATTCACTCCATTCACACCTCCTTCCTTCCTCCATTTATCCAATGTTCATTGAGCTCCCACAAAGAACTACACACTGTTCCAGGCACCCTGGGGGTACAAATCTGAAAATATTTGTCTTGCTCACAATTTGCTGTGGGAGACAAATGTGACTACCTCTGATCACTATACAAACAATGGAATAAATGCTTTGTAGGAGGAGTACACGTCCAATCCCATGGGCCCACTAGGACAGTGTATTTGAAGAAGCTTTAATATAAGAGGTAACATTTTAACTCTGGCTAAAAGGGTAAGTAGGAGTTTGTTAAATTGAGCAGTCAGGTTTAGCCTAGGGTAAAGCCCTCCAGCTACAGGAAACAGCACATGCAATGAATATGGATGTTTGAAAGGATGTCTATTCAGGAAATGCTGGGTGGGGATCATAGCAGAGTTGTCAGGAGATAAGGCTGAAAAATCAAGCAAGGGTCAAATAAGGCAGGGTCTGTTCTATCATGTGGAATTTAGTCTTCTTTTTATTTAAACTTGAACCCGTTGAAAAGAGATGTTGCTAATTCTACTATACTAATTCTAATGGTTCCCACTGATTATTAATTGACAAAAATTAACAGCCAGTAATCTTTGAGTCAATTTTTATCTTTGGCACTTATAAACCCCCATTGCAATTTGCCATGGAAAATAACTTTAAAAGCAACCACCCTGCTACTCGTTAGCGCATTACTGTTGGAATTGATTTGAGTCTAGAGTAGTACCAGAAAATGGCACAAAGTGAATCTGGTCTCTGAGCTTCATCTCACCAAGGATAATATATGTTTAAACCTTCCTTCTTAAGAAAAAACAGCTACTGCTTTTACTATCTTGGGATGTTAAAATACCTATCAATACACTCTTGGCCATGAGTGTGACTTAAATTTTTTTTCCTGAAAAAAAAAATTAAAGAATAAAATGGATGAAAATCTTAAGAACCATGAGATTTATTTTGTTTTCATTAATTCCATTAATTATGCCCGTCTCTTTTTAAGCAATTAAGAAATTTTATAGAATGTAATACTTTTTTATGTAAAAATAAAATGCCTTGTTGTTGTGCTTAGTACAAAAGGACAATGATTCCAGGACCCACTGAGGATTTCCAGTCCGAGCTCGGAATCTGTGGTTTGTCGTTCAGTTTTTGGACTATCCACAGAAACATTCCTTTAAAGAAATATATCCTCAGTTAAGAAACGTGGAGGATCGCCAGGCACTTAGCTGATCTTTGTAAACTGGCAGGCTTGGGTAAACATCTTCCAACTGATTTTCAGACACAGCATTAGCAATCAACAAATATTTTCCGAGCACTGCACATACACATTAAGGGTTTCTTTGAGGTAAGATGCTAGAAAAATAGGATGTGCTTTTAAGGGCAATGTTGGACCCTGCTTCTTCTTGGAGATGTAATGTGCCTATTCCTATTCTTTCATATAGCCCTGTGAAAGCACCGTGAACCTTTTGGGGACAAATGGTATAAGTCAAGTGAATACCCCTTTGTGTGTGCTCAAAGAGAAAGACACAATTTAAACTATAGGTCAATATTAAATGTTCCATCATGTGTGTGCACATGCTTATATATCTTTGTGTACGTGCGTGTATGTGTGTGTGTGATCTATTTGGAAACTGAGAATAAAGGTAATTAAAGGTTGGATTAAAATAATGTGAATGAATAGCATCAATAAGAGTAAAATACTTAGGATTAAATTTAACCAAGGAGCCTAAAGGTTTGCTCACTGAAAACTATAAAATATCCATGAAAGAAACTGAAGAAAACAAATAAAGGGAAAGATGTCTCATGTCCATGGATTGGAAGAATTCATATTGTATAAATGTCCACATTACCCAAAGTGATCTATAGATTCAATGCAATACCATTCAAAATCCCAATGGCATTTTTTATTGAAATAGTAAAAACAATCCTAAAACACATATGGAACCACAAAAGATCTCAAAGTCCAAAGCAATCTTGAATAATAAGAACAAAGCTGGAGGCATCACCCTTCTTGATTTCAAACTATATTACAAAGTTATAGTAATCAATGCAGTATGGTACAATTTTTATTTTTACATAAATAAAGCATTACATCCTGTATGCTCTCTTAGTTGCTTAGAAATAGGCATATAGACCAATGGATCAAAATAGGGAGCCCAGAAATAAACCCACACATAAATAGCCAATTAATCTTTGACAAGGGTTCCAGGAATACACCATGGAGAAAGGATAGTCTCTAACAAATGGTGTCGGGAAAACTGAATATCTACAGGCAAAAGAATGAAATTGGATTTAAGAATCCAATCTTACACTATACACAAAAATTAACTCAAAATGGATTAAATACTTAAATGTAAGACCTGAAATTGTAAAATTCCTAGAGTTAAACATAGAAAGCTCTTTGACATTGGTCTTGGCCATAATTTTTTTGTATATGATCGCAAAAGCATAGACAACAAAAGCAAAAATAGACAAATGGGATTGAATCATACCAAAAACTCCTGCAAAGCAAAAACAAACAAACAAAAAAAACCAAAACCACCAACAAAATAAAAATGCAACCTACAAAATGGGAGAAAATATTTGCAAGCTATGTATCTGAGAGGGGCTGAATATCCAATATATATATATATATATGAGAAAATCATACAACTCAATAGCAAAAAACAAACAAACAAACAACCTCCCCCAGTAATCCAATTTAAAAATAGGCAAAGGACCTGAATAGATATTCTTCAAGAGGAGATATACAAATGGAAAACAGGTAAATGAAAAGGTGCTCAACATCAGTAATCATCACGGAAATATAATCAAAATTACACTGAGATACTACCTCAAACCTATTAGTATGGCTGTTATCAAAAGTACAAGTAATAACAAAGTTTGTCAATTTGTGGAAAAAATAGAACCCTTGTTCACGTTAGTGGGAATGTAAATTGGTATAACTGTCAGAGGCATTTGAACCAGAGTGACTCCATCTTGATTAGAGGCTAGGTAAAATGAATCAGAGACCCACTGGGCTGCATTCCCAGGTTAGGCATTCTAAGTCACAGGATAAGATAGGAGGTTAGCACAAGATACAGGTAACAAAGACCTTGCTGATAAAAAAAAGGTTGTGGTAAAGAGGCTAGCCAAAACCAAGATGGCCATGGAAGTGACCTCTGGTTGTCCTCACTTCTCATTATACACTAATTATAATGCATTATCATGCTAAAATACACTCCCACTAGCACCATGACAGTTTACAAATGCCATGGCAACATCAGAAAGTTACCCTATATGGTCTAAAAGGGGAAGGAACCCTCAGTTTCAGGAATTGCCCACCTCTTACCTGGAAAACTCATGAGTAATCTACCTTTTGCTTAACATATAATCAAAAAATAACCATAAAAATAGCCAACCAGCAGCCCTCGGGGCTGCTCTGCCTATGGAGTAGCTATTCTAACTTTCTTAATAAACTTGCTTTCACTTTACTGTATGGACTTCTGTTGAGTTCTTTCTTGGGTGAGATCCAAGAATCTTCTCTTGAGGTCTGGATCAGGACCCTTTTCTGGTAACACAGCTGTTAAGGAAAATGGTAAAGAGAGTCCTCAAAAAATCAAAAACAGAACTACCACTACTGGGTATATATCCAAAGGAATGTATTAGACGCTGAAAGACACTCCCACTGGCACCATGACAGCATCTTGAAGAGATGGCTACACTCTCATGTTTTTAGAAGAATTATTCCAGTAGCCAAGATATGGAAACAACCTACGTGTCCATAGATGGATGACTACATAAAGAAAATAAGGTGTATATGTGTGTGTGTGTGTGTGTGTGTATATATATATATATATATATACACTATATATATATGCAATATACATATATGCAATATATATATGCAATATACATATGCGCTATATATATGCGATATACATATGCGCTATATATATGCGATATACATATGCGCTATATATATGCGATATACATATGCGCTATATATATGCGATATACATATGCGCTATATATATGCGATATACATATGCGCTATATATATGCGATATACATATGCGCTATATATATGCGATATACATATGCGCTATATATATGCGATATACATATGCGCTATATATATGCGATATATGCGCTATATATATGCGATATACATATGCGCTATATATATGCGATATACATATGCGCTATATATATGCGATATACATATGCGCTATATATGCGATATACATATGCGCTATATATGCGATATACATATGCGCTATATATATGCGATATACATATATATGCGCTATATATATGCGATATACATATATATGGGTGTATATATGTATATACTCATATATATGGGTGTATATATGTATATACTCATATATATGGGTGTATATATGTATATACACGTATATGGGTGTATATATGTATATACACCCATATACACACACACACCATATTTTCTTTATGTGTATATTTACACACACAGTGAAATATTATTCTGCCGTAAAAACAAAGCCAATCTTGCCATTTACAGCAATACAGATGAACCTGGAGGAGATTATACTAAGTGAAATAAGCCAGATACAGAAAGATAAATACAGTATGATCTCATTTATGTGTGGAATCTAAAAAAGTCAAACTCATAGAACCAGAGTAGACCAGTGATTGCCAGAGGCTGGGTTGTGGGAAAATTGGGAGATGTTGGCCAAAGAGTATAAGCTTATGTTACTGAACCCCACCACTTACCCATAGTTGGCCTTTGGATTGGGGTTTTCCTCAGCATTGTCTCTTCCTTGGTTGCCGGAAAGATGTTACTGGAAAGGGGTTTGGATCCAGACTCCAAGAAATGGTTCTTGGATCTCAAACAAGAAAGAATTCAAAGCTAATTCATAAAGTGAAAGCAAGTTTATTAAGAACGTAAAAGAATAAGAGAATGGCTACTCCCTATGCAGGGCAGCAAGGTGGGCCATTGGTTGCCCATTTTTATGGCTATTTCTTCTTGTTTATATGCTAGACAAGGGGTGGATTACTCATGGCTCCCCTTTTCCGAGCATACAGGGTAACTTCCTGACGTTGCCATGGCATTCATAAACTGTCATGGCGCTGGTGGGAGTGTAGCAATGAGGACTACCAGCGGTCACTCTTGTCGCCATGTTAGTTTTGGTGGGTTTTGGCTGGCTTCTTTACTGCATGCTGTTTTATCAGCAAGGTCTTCATGACCCGAATCTTGTGCCGACCTCCTGTCTCATCTTGTGACTTAGAATGCAGAACTCAGCCTTATGTTACTCAGTCCTAGTCAAGATGGAGTTGCTCTGGTTCAAATGCCTCTGACACTTTTAGTCATAGGATTAATAAGTTCTGGGGTTCCAATGCACAGCATTGTGGCTACAGCTGATGATACTGTATTGTATGCTTGAAATTTGCTAACAGTAGATCTTAAAAGTTCTCACTACCCGCAAAAAGAATGGCAGCTACGCGAGGTGATGGATGTGTTAATGATCCTGATTGTGGTAATCATTTCACAATGAATATATACCTTAAAACATCATGTTGTACATCTTAAATATATAAAATTTTGGCTAGGTGTGGTGGCTCACTCCTGTAGTCCGAGCACTTTGGGAGGCCTAGGTGGGTGGATCACCTGAGGTTGGGAGTTTGAGACCAAACCTGGCCAACATGGTGAAACTCTGTCTCTACTAAAAATACAAAAAAAAAAAAAAAAAAAAAAAAAAAAAATTAGCCGGGTGTGTTGGTGGGCGCCTGTAATCCCAGCTACTCAGGAGGCTGAGGCAGGAGAATCACTTGAACCCAGGAGGAAGAGGTTGCAGTGAGTCGAGATCATGCCAATGCACTCCAGCCTGGGTGACAAGAGGGAAACTCCGTCTCAAAAACAAACAAACAAACAAAAAACGAATTTTTATTTGTCAATTATATCTCAATAAAGCTGAAAACAAACAATGTGAGTGGTTACTCTTTTTTTAATATTTCTTTGCAATAGTAGACTTTATCCTTCCTTCCCTTGCTCTGCCATTTAAATACTGTTCAGTGTGTGGAAGGAAATGAAAAATCCTGATTAGCCAGTAGTATCATGAGAAGTTATTGAGCACAGTGCTCTTATATGACACTGGAACTCAAGTCCTTGTCGTGCATACCTGAATCAGTTTTCTTTAAAACTGCAGTGGATGTAGGTCTAATTCACTACCACAAATATGTTGGGCTTTGCTCTTCAAAAGAAACCCAGAAATACTTGTCTTTGCAATCCAGCCACAGACAGCATTAGTTGTGGGAATCAGAGGTATATGATTTTAGGATGGAAAGATTTTGCTGCAGGCATGTTTAGATTCAGTGTAAGGGGTGATTTCTTTTGATTTGTGTTATTTGGGATACAGAACTGATGCGCTTCTTATTCTTTCATTGAGACCTAATAGAAAGATGGGTTATAATTGTAGAGAGAAAAGGAGAATGAATAACGTGGACCCGAAGTGTATACTTGGAAGTCACGAACAAGCATGAACTGACTTTTTAAGCTTTCCCTTCCAAGGGTGAAGACTTCATGGTGTGTGTGTGCGCACGTGTGTGTGCGTGCACGCGCGTGTCTAAGCCCTGCCAGGAAAATCCCTTGAGAACAGCCTCTGCTTCCTTTTGTGTGGAGCGTGGTCACACCCAGTGGCCAGTTAGGCTAATCACACGTGTATATTCCCCGGGGATACCTGAGAAAGAGCAGCCGGCCTCAGTCACTTCCTCCGGTGGATGCCAGAGGCCAATTTGGATAATAGCAGAGCCACCTTGTTCCTTTCCTTTGTTCCAAAATGTGGTGCCTGGGTAGGAAAAAGCCCCACACCATTCATGATGTTAACAATAGCAGCATTAACAGTCATTGGACTCCCACCGAGTGTGTTATTCTTTAAATTAGAACCCATGAATATAATGAGATGGATTTTCACAGGAACAAGGGCAGGCTGAAACAAAGAGGTATTGCTTTTTATTCTTATTTCCCTTGATTTTTGCATGATTTAAACATTTTGAACCTTAACTGTTCTTTTCATTTTACTTTTGAGTTGGGGAGGGTGATATCATGTTAATGTTAGAAAGAAAAAGGACCATCTTTTTAGAATGCAAATAGAGGCAGAAACTCTATTTATGAAAATTTAAAGAACTGTATGAAACAACTCCAAAACATAGCATCCTCAATCAGCATCAGAATGACGCTTTTCTTTCTTGTGTGCTTGATTTTTAAAATTATCTTAATAGACACTGTGAAGGTCCCTTGTGTTACTCAGGGGCAGGCTTGACTCATGGATAGAAGCACTGAAGTTGTGTTTGTGACTTGTGGCTCTGCCTTAGGCTGATCATAAAGTAGAAGTTGCGTCCATAGGAGGCTTCTTACCCACCCAGTGAAAATTTAGTCCATTTCTCTTTAGGAGAGAGCCTGTTCTGGTCTTCTTTTCCTGGACGGTGGATACATTTTTCACACTTTATGAGTTTGCCTTTCCAGAGCCTTATAGGGGATCAGGTTGTTGCACCGCTCTGATATTCATGCCACTGAAAACTTAAATCAAGCTTTATTTACTGTTCTAATTGAATAGCCCCCTGGACAGCCAGTCCGTGGTGACTTCACCCTTTTCTGAAGTTCAATCATTTGGCACATTTCAGAAGAATAAAGACTTTAATCATCCAAAACAAATTGAAGCCAAGAGACCAGGGTCTGAGTTCTGGTCTCTTGGTCTAAGGAGTAGTTGACCTTGGTTTGGAAGTTACTTGGCTCCAAACAGAGTGACTCAGTCTCCTTCTGTCAAATCAGGAGGTTGTACTAGAAGATACCTAACATTTTTTCTAGCTCCTTGAGAAGGTAATTTTAATCAGAACCTCTTTTCCTCTCTTAGCTCATTTCCACAATCCATTATTTTCTTCTCAAAGATATTCATTTCTTAATTAAAGATAGGTATTTTTAATGAGTCCTGCAGTCTCTGGGCTAGTTCTTGATTTCTCCTCTTCATTTCTGTGCTTCCTATAAATCCTGTAGCCATGATCTACTGCCAGATATCCGATGTGTAGGTGGTGATGTGTGTTCTTGTTTTATTAAAGTAGAACTCTTGTTTTTCTTCCAACGTACAGATCGTTTCCCGCTTGATGCTCATAGCGGGAAGAAACGTAATGTTTTACAATGAAAAACAAAACTTGCATTCATGGTTTGTGTCATTTGCTCCTCCTTCTCTACCTGGCCTACACCAGCTCTCGCCCACATGAACTTCCCTCTTCTGAAGAGTTATCATGGCCCCAAGTGACTGAGCAATAATGAGTGAAGCATTCTTACCAGCAAGGTGGTTGAGGGAATTACACGGAAAGTTACATGGCATTCTTGTTCAATGAACTCACTTTCAGTTGTTTCTTTAAATAGGTAGAATATTTCCCTGCCAGAGGTGTAACTGCCCAGTGGGTTCACTTTGCCTACTGCCTAGACAGAGTCGATTTATCAAGACAGGAAAATTACAATAGAGAAAGAGTAATTCATACAGAGCCAGCTGTGCAGGAGACCAGAGTTTTATTATTACTCAAATCAATCTCCCTGAGAATTCAGGGATTGGAGTTCTTAGGATAATTTGGTGGGTAGGGTGTTCTGATTGGTTGAGTGGGAGATGAAATCATAGGGAGTCAAAGCTGTCCTCTTGTACTGAGTCAGTTCCTAGGCGGGGGACCACAAGACAAGATGAGTCAGTTTCTTGATCTGGGTGGTGCCAGCCAGATCAATGGCTGTGATGATGATGGAGTGCATGGTCTGCAAAATATCTTCAGTACCGAGTTTAGGTTTTACAATAGGGATGCTATCCCCAGGAGCAATTTGGGGAGGTTTAGAATCTTGCAGCCTTCAGCCACATGACTCCTAACCCATAATTTCAAATCTTGTGGCTAAAGGGGTTTGTTTTGGGAAAGGGCCGTGATCTCTTTGTTTCAAAGCTAGGTTCCTCCCATAGTTAGTTCAGCCTATGCCCAGAAATGAACAAGGACAGCTTGGAGGTTAGAAGCAAGACGGAGTTGGTTAGGTCAGATCTCTTTCATTGTCTCAGTTATAATTTTGCAATGGTGATTTCAATCAGACTTTGACATCCTTCTTCTATGGTCATAGTAGAAAAAGAAAAAAAGCAAATCTGATATGCCAGTAAGAATGCAGTTGCCAATATAGCCACACTGAGCGTACCTTCACCAGCTGCAGTATCACACACTATAGCCAGCTTTCAAGATTTTAACAAAACGAAGCCCTCACTCCAAATCAAAAGTTAAAGGCTCGGTGCTTAAAGATGGAAGTTTGAGTCAATGGATAATAAATGCCAAGAGTGACCAGAACCCTCAAGCGAAAAGGCAGTCCCCTTGACCAGTGACTCTCCCATGTTACCCTCCTGGTCATCACCTGGAGGGCATTTGATAAATCAGAGGCTAGAATGCACCCCACAGCTTCTGATTCTGTCAGTCATGGGCACCGCTAGAGAAATTGCATTTTTAACCCATTCCCAGATGGTGCTGATGCTGCTGTTTTTGAGATCACCCTTTGAGGAACAAGAACTATAGACACACAAAGAAGACACTTCAGTTCAGCTAAAATGATTCCTTTACTGACACTGCTAGAAGGTTGACATCACTCCTCAGTGAGTGGTCCTGGAGACTGATAGCAAAGCCACTTGGCATTGTACATGTGTGTGCATAAAATGTATAGCTCTCATTTTAGAACAGGGAGGAGCGAGGGGGATCATTCCTTATCAACAAGTTAGGGCCCGAGAAACTGCTGTCCACCTGCCTGGGATGAGTTTTGATTCTGCCATTGACTAACTTTGTGATGTGGGGCAGATAATTTCAAGGCTCTGTGAATCACTTCACTCACTTATAAAATGGAAATAACAATAAGAGCACCTACTTCATAAGGTCATTGTATTAAATGGGCTAATATTTTTCAAGCCCTCAGATCAATACTGGGTACTCAAAACATATAATACAAGTGGAAAATGCCTGATCACAAGAACACTTTATTGCTATGTAAAATATTTGGGTTCTACCACCAAGGGTGGGCCAAATCAGATAAACATCACAGGGAATTTTATTTTAACAAAGCTGATGATGGTCTGATTGTGTCGCATGGTATGATATAACACTGTACTTTTGCCTACTTCTCAGAGAATGCCTTGTGATTTTTAACACTTATGTTCTCCCCTGCTGGAGGGCTTCGGTCTTGAGCTCTTGTTCCTATTTCCTTGACTAAAGATGACACCTTGTTGGCGTTCACTTTACTGGCTTATATATGTATTTAGATCATTGCTTCTGTAACACAGACATGAGGGACAAGAATTATGGGAAACACAAAGAAGACACATCTGTACAAAAAGTGTCTTATCTACCATCATTCTGTCCAGCAATCATCCATCTAAATCAATCAGTCAAATATCTATCTCTATATCTAATCTATTGAATCTATCAAATGATCAATCAAATGATCTAATCTATCATCTGTCTAATCTATGTCTATCTATCTAGCTACTATCTACCATCTATTTACCTATCTATGTCTGTCTGTCTATCTATCTATCTATCTATCTATCTATCTATCTATCTATCTATCTATCTATCATCTATCTACCTATCTGTTAGAGTAGGCAAATAGCTAGACATGAGTAGGAGTGGGGAGCCCCTGAGAAAAGGGAGGTCTGGAAAATCTCACACCCCAGAGACTATCCAAAACATGCATACTGGATATGAGCAGAGAGGAGGAGAAATACCTATGCAGAAAGCAACACCCCTTAAGATGCCTAGTCATCTCTCACTCTACAGTTAAAATATCAGAATGTTCCTAGGTACATGCTGATAAGGAAGGAGAAGCACAAAAGGGGGCATTCCTAAGAAATATGCAGGCACAATAAGTACAGATTTGACTGCTATACAATCTTTCTGGGATGGCATTAATGAACAATGCAGCCGTTAGGTAGAATGGGTATCCAACACCAGGCTCATGCATGAGCACCAACTAATATTAAGAGAGGGTCTCACAAGCCTGGAGTGGGGACCGGGAGGGGAAAAGATGGCAACTTAAGGCAGAAGCAGGAAAAATTAGACAAGGAAAAAAGGCGGAGACTTAAGAAAGAGGCAAGAACTTCAAGAAAAAATCCGACATACTAAAAACCCAGTGCAGAATGGGTGCTGCTGTCTCATTCTCTTACAGCAACCCACTCTGCCTCATCTTTCAGAGGGTATTGTCTCTCTAAATAAACTCTCTGCTCTCGATTTTCCTTCGATGAGTTCTTTTTAAGCTAAATTGTCACTTGGCAGAATCCTTTCTCCCAAGTAAGACTAAGAACTGAGGATTCCTGCCCTTCCCAATAGCATATCTACCTACCTGTTTGAACTTTCCCCTAGTCTGTGTAGCACTTTGTCATTCTCTTAGACATGTCATTTGAAAAGCAGTTTTAATTTTGATGAATAGAATTTGTTTTTTTTTTTTTTAAGTTTAATGCTTTTTGTGTCCTAAGAAATCTTTTCCCATCTCAGGGTTGTAAAGATATTGTCTCCTGTAATAGAAGTTTTATGATTTTTTAACTTTTATATTGAGTTCTTTAATACATTTCAAACAAATTTTCATGTAAGGTGTGAGATAGGGATTGAGGATCATTTTTTCCCCATCAATGTCCAATTGTTTCAGCATTGACAACTGAATAAAAAGTCTACACTTGCTTTGTTAAAATGACTTAGTGTCTTTGTGAAAATTAATTGACCATATGAATTTGGATCTATTTCTGGAATCAGTTCTGTTTCTGTATCCTATGTGTCTATCCTTACACCAAAACCACACTGTCTTGATTTTTGTGCCTTTATATGGGAAGACTTGAACTTAGGCAGTGAAAGTCCTCTAATTTTTCCCAGAATTGTTTGGCTATATCTTAGGTCCTTTGCATATCCACATACATTTTAATATAGCTTATTAATTTTTATAAAATAGTCTGATAGGATTTTAATCATGAATGCCTTGAAGCTGAGATCAGTTTGGGAAAATGCTTATCTTAACGTTGAGTCTTCCAGTTCATGAATATGATATATTGCTCAGTTTATTTATATCTTTTATTTCTTTCGGCAATGTTTTATAGATTTCAGTATGTAAGTCATTGGCATCTTTTGTTAAATTTATTCCTGAGTACTTTTTTAAAAGCTAGTGTAAATACTATTGTTTTAAAAATTCAAGTTGTTGGCCAGGTGCAGTGGCTCATGCCTGTAATCCCAGCACTTTGGGAGGCCGAGGTGGGCGAATCACGAGGTCAGGAGATCGAGACCATCCTGGCTAACACGGTGAAACCCCGTCTCTACTAAAAATACAAAAAAATTGGCCAGGCCTGGTGGTGGGCACCTGTAGTCCCAGCTACTTGGGAGGCTGAGGCGGGAGAATGGTGTGAACCCGGGGGGCGGAGCTTGCAGTGAGCCGAGATCGCGCCAGTGCACTCCAGCCTGGGTGACAGAGCGAGACTCCGTCTCCAAAAAAAAAAAAAAAAAAAAAAAAAAAAAAAAAAAAAAAAAAAAAAAAAAAAAATTCAAATTGTTTCTATGTTGTCTGTATACAGTTAATTCAAATTGTATGTAGTAATTGTGTATTGACCTTGTAAGGGAGAAGAAGTAATATCTTTTCATCACCCATTACAAGGTTGATGGCTGACACCTTTATAAAGGAAGACAAATCAACGAGAGAAAAGCATAACCAATTTACTTAACCAAAGTTTTAGATGACATAAAGAACCCAGGAAATACTTCAGAAATAAAGAACCCAGGAAAACTGTGTATTTTTATGCTTGGGTGTAGTGAAGAATGGGCATTCACTTAGAAGTATGATTGGATAACAAGGGGGTATGACCTTAGCAATGGTTTTTAGTTTAGATTCTTCTTGGCCTCTGGGTAGAGGGGAAGAACTCTCTGGAAGGAGTCTTATGACTTCCTTTCAGGGGAGATAGGTCAAATAATTCTTTTATGACCATGCTTCAGAGAAGAAAGAAGAAGGTCAGAGAAGGAAAAAGAGAAGGTCAGTGAGACATTTCTACTTCTGCAGTTTTCTCAATTTCCTTCAGCTTAAAATACTCAGTTAAAACCAAGGTGCCATATTATGGGGTAGCATTTCCTGTGTCCCATTCATCTGATATCCTATGATCTTATTAAATTCACTTATCAAGTTTTTGTAGCTCTTTTTGTAGATACCTTAGAATTTTCTAGATAGATAGTTGTATCTTCTGCAAATAAATTTTTTACTTTCAACCTTTGTGCCCCTTTTCTCTTTTACTTGCCTTATTGCACTGTATAAGAGTTTCAGCACATTACTGCATAATAGTGGTGAGTAATGACAGCAGACATCCTTTTCTCTGCCCAGTCTTCGGGGAAAAGCATTCTTTTTACATTTTTTTTTTTTTTTTTTTTGCCATTTAGTGTGTTATGACTGTAGGTTTTTTATAGGTGCCTTGTGATAAGGGAGTTTTCCTATTCCTAATTTTCTAAGAACTTATGAATGGGTGTTGAATATTTGAAAGTGCAACTTCTGCATCTATTCGAATATGTGAATTTTCTTCTTTATTAATGTGGTAAATTATATTGATTTATTATCCAATGGTAGACTGACTGTGCATTCCTTAAATAAATCATTCCTGGCCATGGTGTAATATTATTTTTATACATTTCTGGATTCTGTTTGCTAATATTTTGTTGATAATTTTTACATATATATTAAAAAATTATTTTTATCTATAATTTTTTTTCTTGAAATGTCTGTGTTACTCTTGGTATTGGTGTAACGCTGGACTCATAAAGAGTTGAGAAATGCTCATTCCTCCTCTATTTTCTAAAAGTGTTTTTGTTTAAAGATTGTTATCTTTTATCTCTTAATATTTGAAAGAATTTAGCATTAAACCAGTTGGGCCTGAAATTTTCTTTGTGCAAAGATTTTGATTGTGAATTTCATTTCTTTAACGGTTATAAGGCTACTTAAATATTAGACTTCTATGATTTTCATCGTATTTCTAAGGAGATCATTCATTTCATTTACCAAATGTGTTAACATAATGTTGTTTATGATATTTGCTTTTTAACTTTCTAATGTCTGAAAATATTTTAGTTATATCTCCTTTTTAATTCCTGAATTTAGTAATTTGTGTTTTCTCTTTCTTTTTTAAAGTCTATCTAGGAGTTTGTCAACTTTATTAATGTTTTTAATGAATCAACCTTTTCTCTATTTTTTTGTTTTCTACTTTATTTTTACTCTAATTTTTATTGTTCTTTGCTTTTGCTTTTTGGGGGTTTAATTTATTGTTCTTTTTTAGCCTTTCAAGATAGAAACTTAGATTATTGATTTAACTTATTTTGCTATGCTGATATTTTACACATTAGCTCAGGTATATGACAGATACCATTATTGCTATCATTTTACAGATAAAGAAACTGAGGCTCAATGAACTTGTAACGCTTTAGTGTCAGAGCTCTAGAATGGGTGAAGGCCAGATTCAGACCCAGGCATCGTGACTCCCAAGTCTGCTTGTGGATCCTTGAAAGCAAGGGTGAGCCATAAGCATTGCACCTTTGAGAGAACTGGTAAGTTAGAACCGCAGGGACTTCTGAGAGCTTCCTTCATCATTTTCTGCATGCCTCCCAGTGTGCATAGTCTCTGCTCCTTCTCCCGTTAGCATGAGCCGTGTGTGTGATACAGTGTGAGCACTGGTGTGGAGGGTTCAGATCCATGTGGGTGGCCCCCACACTCTAGCCAAGTGAGCATGTAAAGATGTTTTTATGTAGCTTCATCGATAATTAACTTCCACTCTCTGCCTCATTCCATGCCTCCCCACTTGCCTTCCTCCCTCCCTCCAGCCTGGGTGCTTGGGGGCCTAGGCTGGGGACCTCACTGTGACTAGCTTAGCAATTCTCTAGCTCCAGGAGGCTGCCAGGACCCAGGCGGGAGTGCAGGAAGTTTTCAAGGTCTGTG
The DNA here is from genome assembly GCF_000001405.40 of Homo sapiens. Taxonomy (NCBI): domain Eukaryota; kingdom Metazoa; phylum Chordata; class Mammalia; order Primates; family Hominidae; genus Homo; species Homo sapiens. Next base: position 156,167,947 of record NC_000006.12, on the reverse strand, counting down.
CTCCAGGGTGTGTGATGACTTGACTGCTCCCTGAAGAGCTCGCTGCTTATAATCGCATAGTTTTTGGCATGTGCTCTCTGACAAAAGAACAGATGTTTCCTACAAGAACAAAAGAACAGGGCATAACTGTTGGCCTAACGCTTTGCCACTAATAACATTGAAAGTGGAAGCAACAAGTCCTAACGAGAAGGTCCCTACAGGATCATGAAGCCAGTGCCAGGGAATTGGAGTCAAAATGAAAGAACTCACGGCTGCTTTTACGTTTTAATAGGCAGTGTGCTGGATGTTTTTTAACCTCTTTGGATAAATAGCAACAGGCTATTCTTTCTAGCTGTGTTCATGAATTTTGTAGCTGTACAGTAATGATGGCTTCACAAGTTCCCTTACAAGATCCCAAGCCCGTGTCCATTTCAGAGACACACTGAGAGGGTTATGACAGGCTCGGCCAACCCTGCAGCATCAGCCTACAGTCCATATATGGGGGAAGCCTTAGCTAAATCGCAGCTCTCAGCCAAACTAAAAACACCAGAGCAAGTTTTTCTCTTTGTTGCTGGCTGGAACTTCAAAGCACGGAGAGCCCACACACAAAAATGAAAAACAAAGAACCCTAAAAAAGGGCCCAGCCTCAGAGCCCACCCCCAAAAGTTTAGTATGCCTCTTGTGTTAAAAACCTTTCACCCCATATGTCACATGTCACCCAGGGTTTCAGTCGCGTTCCTAGAGTCATTCCTCTGATTTTTCATCTCTGAAGAATATCTTCTTTGAGGTTGTCCTTGGCTTTCGCCCAAAGGAAAGACATTTATTTTTTCTCATTCTTTCCCCCAACCACCTACCCTGACTATTTCTTCAAACTAACAGACACAGTGAAAATATTATTTAAATGTTTTTAACTTCTTTTACCATGAACTGTTGTCACCAAAAAGGTTCAATGTTCGGGTTTAGTAAGTCATGGTTAGCAAAGAACATTCACAGCATCTGATGTCAACAGGATCTTTACAAATCTCTCCTCCTATTTCCCTTGGACTTTATTGAGAGGGATGGATACTATATCCCAATGTGGCAACTGGACATCCTCATTTATATTTGTGGTCCCAGCTTATACCTTTTTCCTGATGTTCTGTTTGCTGATTTGCATGATTCATTATATGATCACCTCTTCTTTAAGAAGGGGTTTTGAAAATATTTCTTATGATTCTAGCAATTTATATCAAATTTTATGGTGCTATCATTATAATGCGAATGTGGGAAATGCAGAACCAAAACCTTGAAGCGACTTGAAATTTTCATAAGGCAAATCCATTCATCACATATACATTTGAGTCCATGTTATTTTTCTGAAAATGTGGTTGAGCTAATGCAATTATGAAAATGTTGTTTCTTGGAAATGAAAAGGTTTTGTGTTCAGCAGGGTACATAAAGTAGGTGTAAGCACTCTCATATTTGGGCTCCAAATATGGGTTACATGTTGAGACTGAGTGCCAGTTGAGGAGCACATTAAAAAAACACCCAATCATATGATTGTGTTATTCATAGTTATACATTCTGTGTCCCAGAGACTAAATATCAACAGCAGATTCCTTCAAAGATTGGATGGGTATGAGTGACAAAGTGACGGATCTTAACATCTTGAAATGGTGGCAGAATTGAGTTAGCTGTTTTTATAAAAAAAAATAGGCCAGGACGGAAGTTAGACACATTAGTGCTGCTGAATTTGTTTTGAATCAACTCTGTGGCTCTAGGCAACCAGATTTCTCTCCATGTGTCGGTTTCCTGATCTGCAAAATGGGCATAAATGTGTTTTCTCTAGGACCTCTCTCAAAATTCTCACGAAGATAAAACAGGCCTTTATTTGGGATAGTGCTTTGAAAGTAACGCATATTACACATGTTTCTCAAGCTGTACTTAAAACAGCAGGCTGTGATTTTGAGGCAGCCACATCAGAAGGTGTCTGGAGCTCTCGGCCTCTGTGGGGCATGCTCAGAGTGAATTGAAATTTTTGGTCAGTGAATCCTGGTGGCTAAATGACTATTTTCCATATTTAATTCATCTATTTTTAGCTTATTTTCATGACTTGATTCAGAACTTAATAGAAACAAATGTGCATCTATTACAATTCAAAATTGAACTTCCTGGGTGGTGTTGGGTGGGAGAAACAGAGATTGAAATGAGAGAGAGAGAGAGGAAAACTTAACATTTCTATGGTAATAAAAAAGTAGTTTTTACAAAACTGAAAACACTAAAAATTGAACCCACAAAAATGGTATGATGAAACCAACTGAATTTCTGCATTTGGAAGCAAACCAGAACTCGGTGACTGTACTCAGGTCTCTCTCTTCTTTTCAAACTGTTGGATGCCTTTGCTTCATCGCTGTGTTGTTGATGTTTGCATTTTAATTATAACAATGACACTTACCTGTCCCTATTTAAGCCATCATGAAAACTCTGTGTTGAAAATCTGCTTGACTGGATGAAAAGTCTAAAAAACGCAGGAGGATAGCACTGCTGTCCCCAAGCCATATGGGCAAGTGATTTGAGGTCATTTTCCAGCAGGAGTGACAAATTTAACTCAAGTGGTCTCCCCTTCTACCTCCCATTTCTTGTGGGTAAGGTCTGGGTCAATGATTATAGTCAGTGACTACGAATGAGTGGATTTCTAGGGAGAGGCACATGTATCCTGTTAGGCTGTCAGTATGCCGTGGTTTGCCTGAGAGAGTGCAGGTTTACCCCTGTGGCCCAGCCCGATGATTAATTGTACCTCTTTTCATTCCTAAGGTGTTTGGATTTGGGTGAGAAGTTGTGTGATCATACTATTCATGCTGGGTGCTGAGCACACAACCTGGGCATTAGGGTCTCTGTGTCCTCATCAAGTGGGAGGTCTGGCCCAGATAACATAAACCAGTTGTCATTGCATGGGATCAGGGTAGACCTAGGTGCTTTGATGACAATCTGTTGGTCTGTGCTCTTCCCTTTAATATATATTCCCAAACTAATTGTCTCACTAAATTCACTAAGTGCAGTTTCTGGCTGCAACATTTCTACTTGGGAAAGACGCCAGAATTGTCAGCCAGTAAAGACTTCAGACCTTTCTTGGCCAATTTGCCAAAAAAACATCAGAGGGAGTTATTGATCTTTTCCCTTGTACTCATTCAGCTAATTTTTTTTTCTGTTTCCTTTCTTTTCTTCTTCTTAAGCTGACATCCAATAAAAGCTATTTCTTTGAGGTGCCAGCAACATGTCAGCACCAATACCATTGACAATATGAATTGTAGTCCCCCCACCTCCATTTCTCTACAAATGTCCTTTTCTTGGTTCTGTTGACAACACAGGTATTTGTCAAGCTTTGCTTTCCTCTTGCATTTATTCATGGGTGACTTTGAACCTGGACTGGTTCATGGGACTAAATTCCATTTGGATACTGTGTTTGAATACTACTGCAAGTTGCATGCTTAAAAATTTATTAAACAGTATACACCACTTATCAGAGCAATCTTATTTTATACTTAATTTATAGAAGAAAGCCCAGTAGATTAGTCAGGGACATCTCAATAGCTAGTTTCTCAGCAGGAGCAAATTTTGGATTTGGCCTTCAGAAATATGAACTATTCTTTCAGAAATTTCTGGCACTGAATAGTGCTACACTTCCCCCCGTGAGAGCTGTTCACTTACCACCTTTTCTTAGCTGGAGGCCCAGGCTCATACTAGCCTATGAGGTACAATTAAAGAGGAGGCCTAGAGAATTGCAGGCATAATTACCACAGAGATGGGCAAGGTAGTTATGGTGACAATAAATATGTAAGATATCTGGGAAGCTTTTTTTTTTTTTTTTTTTTGAGACAGAGTCTCACTCTGTTGCCCAGGTTGGAGTGCAGTGGTGTGATCTTGGCTCACTGCAACCTCCACCTCCCAAGTTCAAGTGATTCTCCTGCTTCAGCCTCCCAAGTAGCTGAGATTACAGGCATGCACCACTACAAGCAGCTAATTTGTTTTGTATTTTTAGTAGAGACGGGGTTTCACCATGTTGTTCAGGCTGGTCCTGAACTCCTGACCTCAAATTATCCACCTGCCTCAGCCTCCCAAAGTGCTGGGATTACAGGCATGAGCCACCGTGCCTGGCCTCTGAAAAGTTTTTTTTTTTTTTTTTTTTCTGAGATGGAGTTTTGCTCTTCTTGCCTAGGCTGGAGTGCAATGGTGCGATCTTGGCACACTGCAACCTCCGCCACCTCTGGATAGTGACAACTATGAACAGATTAATATGCAAACTGATGGTTGGGACAGTCATTTGACAAATTTGCAACTGATTTGCCTGAATTATCCTGAAAATATCTCACCCTTTCACTTGAATGATGCTGTGCAGAACACTCTGCTGATGCTTGAAGGTATTTCCTGTGTAGAGTCCCCCAGTGAGTACAAAAATATGGGCCAAGTGTAGCCCAGACATCTGAGTAACTCTCACTCAATTGTGGATCCACATGAGAAGAAGTAAAACCAATGTCCCATTTCCTACATTGACGCAGAGGATGCTGCTTATCTCAGCACCTGGCTTGTCAAGCAGCCACGCTCAAACCTCTGATCCTCTTTGATCCTGCCTGATACTGCTTCATAGAATTTCAATTCCAGAAGAACTCAAATCAGCAATCTTTTCTTTATATTCCATTTCTTCCCTGCTTCTGCCCACTCACCTTTTCTCGTGGTCCTAGGATCAGGGCGTTTGAGGTTATATAACTTAATATGAGTAGGAATCACTTGGAGTTAGGAAGAGAGAAGTGTTGATATAGTGGAATATAAGTAATTTACAAATTGATATATGCATTCTAAATATATGCCTGTGAAATTTCTGTAATTCTAAAATGGGAATAGAACCAAAATGTTTAGTCAGACATGATAATTATAGCTAACATTTATTGAAGGCTTATAACGGGCCAGCTACTGTTCTAATTGCTTTACATTTATTAGCTAATGTTCTCACAATAGCCCAATGAGACAATTCTTATCACCATTTTACAAAGCAAGAAATAGGCGCAGAGAGGTTGTGACTTGTTCAAAGTCACCACTGGGTGATGGAGTCAATATTGGGACCCGTGTCTTGTGACTCCCCCAGTCACAGTGCCATGCTGCCGGTACAGTTCCAAAATGATATTAACACTTGCCCCTTAACTTTGAAAGAGTTTTGCAAAGCCTGGTCTTATAATATGTAAATAACAGTGCTTGAATTTCTTGGCTGATAAGTATTAATAACCAGAAAGTAATATTTTAGAATGCGGTATCCCTGGATATTAATTAGCTTGCTTATATATGTTAGTCCTCTAGGGCTGCTGCGATAAAGGACCACAGACTGGGTAGCTTAACACAGCAGCAATTTCTTCTCTCTCAGTTTTGGAGGCTGGAAGTCTAAAGTGGAGGTGCTGGCAGGGACGTGCTCTCTCAGAAGGTTCTAGGGGAGGATCCCTCCTGTCTCTTCCAGCCTCTGCTGGCTCTCCTTGGCCTTCCTTGCCTTGTGAACGCAGCTCCCTTGTGAACGCAGCTCCCTGCCTTCATCACATGGAATTCTCCCTGGGTGTGTGTCTGTGTCTACATTTTTCTCTTCTCAAAAGGACACCAGTGGCCTGGTGCAGTGGCTCACGCCTATAATCCGACCACTTTGGGAGGCCGAGGCAGGTGGATCACCTGAGGTCAGGAGTTCCAGACCAGCCTGACCAATATGGTGAAACCCTATCTCTACTAAAAACACAAAAATTAGCCACACGTGGTGGCATGCGCCTGTAATCCAAGCTACTTGGGAGGCTGAGGCGGGAGAATCACTTGAACCTGGGAGGTGTAGGTTGCAGTGAGACAAGATCACACCATTGCACTCCAGCCTGGGGAACAAGAGCAAAACCCTATCTCAAAAAATAATAATAAAAAAATTAAATTAAAGATTTAAATTTAAATTTAAAAAAAGGACACCAGTCATTCCCCTCATCCTGGTATAACTTCATCTTAACTTGATGACGTCTGCAGAAACCCTATTTCCAAATAAGGTCACCCAAGGTCTTGGAGTTTAGGACTTAAACATGACTTTTTGGGGCACACAATCAACAACAATATACATATCTGCTTAGGCTATATTATCACCTATGTTTTAATTTTGAGAATAAAACAAGAATAATGTTTCCCCCATGCAATTTCTTTCTTTTTCCTCCAACACACGTGCATAATTCTTTTATTTCTTCCTTAAAACAGCATCTGATCTACCAGCAGATGTTTCCCCCATAATAACAGGCACATAATACCCCACTTCAGAGGTCTGGGATCGGGTGGAGTGGTTCTCATGATAGCTTTTTATTTTATAGCAGACCTCTTTTTATTTTGTCTTCTAAATTGCTTTTCCATTACTTGTTTATAATATTAATAGTTAAAACCATAGTATGGGAGTGATCATATAGTTGACATTTACAATTAACATTGTACGGCCAGGATTTCTCCATGTTATTGCAAAAACTTAGCTGATTTGTTAACATTCCTTATAATATTTCAGCAAATTAAAAATATACAATTAAATCTTTCTCATAGTTGGCACTTAGGTTGTTTCCATTTTTTTCTTTTGTGTTAGTACTGCAGTGAATATTTATGCTTATATCTTTTTTCTTCCTTTGTTCTTTTTTCCAAGAGGAATTTCTAAAAGAATATAATATTTTGGTGTCTCTTGATAGCCTATCGTTTGATATTGATTGCTGTCAGAAATTGCACTGGAATCACCCCAATATTGTTTCACAAGCTGATCATATAAAATTTTGTTTTAAATAGCCTTTTATTGCTTACATTTTAACTTCATTGTTATTATGGTTGAACACTTTTCAAATGTATTTCTTCTAAACATTAAAATCATCTGGGAACTGAAAAAAAAAAAAGACAGCTTATCTTTCTTTCGCAGTTGTTAAAAACATGTGAGAAGGAAGTTAGATTGAATTAGTTGCATAACCCAATATTTAAGGTTTCCTGAGTTGATACGGCCACATATTTTTTTTGTTCCTAATGCTCAAATTTCCAAATTTCATACTTAAAAGAGCCAACATTAACACACAGACACACACACACACACACACACACACACACACGTACATTTGCTTTATTAAGATAAATTTGTTAGAACAAAAGACCTAGTATATATAACTTGTTTTGCTTAAATAACATTATTTAAATGTATACTGTGTTCAGTGGTGCATTCCCCCTAGTTTAGTATGGTGAACACATGTCCTAAATATTCAGTATAAACTTGTAGAATGGAAGATGATTCACCCCTTAATGAATTTATAAGTATCTGCTTAAATTATCTTTAGTAAATAAAATTAGCAGCTTATCAGTCACTTTTCTAAAATGGCTCCTTGCTAAATTAATTTGCAAGTTTATCAAATTACATTTATGACTTTAAAATATATAGTAATATGCATTCATTAGGAATTTATCTCAGATTTCTGAAATGTATGCATTTAAGATTCTATGGATGATTAGAGGAGACATATTTTAAAAAGTGTATATCTTCAATGATATGTCTTTGAAGTCATATCTACTTTATATCAATTATTCGTAATTGAATACAAGAGGGTGCAATTGAGGGCTGGCAAAAGGGGATTTTAGTTAACCAATATGATTATCCTTTATTTAAAGTTAATTATATTTTTTCACTTCTCCTGTTTTACAGCAAGTGTGGAGTTGGCTCCAAACTCAGAGTCTGTCTGGGTACTCAGTCCTACATCTGTTTAATGTCGGTGTCCTTCTTGGCCTCTTCCCATAGACATTGGGTTGCTTTAGACTTATGAGTCTTGGCCTTGGCGGATGGGACAGTGAGCTCAGTCTTCATTCACTGACTTGAGGATTTAGTAGATCTTGATTCTGGCTCTCTTCTGATCCAAGAACCACACTACAGAGCTAAGTAATCAGGCTTCCTGCTTTATGAGCTAAACATGTATATGTATATAATATGCATATATTATACATGTATGTGTATATATATATATATAACTGTATATATATATATATATAACTGTATATATATATATATATATATATATAACTGTATATATATATATATATATATATATATAACTGTATATATATATAGCTGAACAACGTGAGTTTGAGCTATGCAGGCCCATGTATGTGTGGATTTTCTTCCACTTTTGCTACCTATGAGATGGCAGACCAAATCCTCCTCTTCTTCCTCCTTTCAGCCTGCTCAACATGAAGATGATGAGGATGAAGGCCTTTATGATGATCCACTTCCACTTAATGAAGAGTAAATATATTTTCTCTTCCTTATAATTTTTAACAACATCTTTTATCTAGCTTACTTTATTGTAAGAATACAGAATATAATACACATAACATATAAAATATGTGCTCATCAACTGTTTATGTTATTACTAAGGCTTCCAGTCAATTAGTAGTTAAGTTTTTGGAAAGTCAAAAATCTTACATAAATTTACTGCTATGTAGGGGGTCAGCCCCACTAACCCCCATGTTGTTCAAGGGTCAGCTAGACACACATGCACACATATATGCACACACATATCTATCTATAAATTTTCATCTTATGTCTTTTGTATTCTGGGCTTGGTTTGCAATTCTAATGTGAATGGAGGGCCAACTATTTGTCACAGAAAAGGAGAAAGATGCTACTAAAATCAACTTCAACTGCTTTAGCCCCAAAGAGAGTAGCATTACTTATTCTTAGACTGAAATCTTTTTATTTAAATAAAATATGTTGATAGAGAACTGTTGGTGCAGTGTTTGAGTGCTCAAGAGACTGGACTGGAGAGAAACAAAGAACCTAAGAGATAGCTGATGTCCTCTGCAGGAGGAATGAAGAGGGGTAAGGAGGAGAAAAAGTGAGAATGAGCCTGGTTTTCTGAAAGTCTAATGAGACGTGCTAGCCAATTAGGATTTCCTGTTAGTGGTGGTGACTGAAAGAAATGAAAAAAAGAAGGAATGTCTAACATTTAATTTTAAATTGTTTATTCATGTTGTTACTATTTAATTTCCTTCATCTCTCTAGTCCTTTCAAAGGAAAGAGGCCATGTTCCCTGTCTGGGTAGACAAGGGGTCAGTGAAAAGAGAACAGGTAGGAAAGTCATTCTACTTCTTGGAAGTAATATCCTTGGTTTGATTGTCCAAAACACCATCCTTGAATTCTCTTTGCTAGAAAGAGCTCCTGTATCAGCTGAGAAGGCCTCCATTTGAGCCAACACTATTCCCAATCAGCCTTGTCTGATCCCAGAATGGCTTTCTGAGAACAGGAAGGTTTTCAATTCTTCCTACCACACCAACCAGTCTCGGATAGGCTGTAGGACCTGGAACATCATAGCAAGTGATATTTGGGGTTCACATTGATTATAGTCTGCCACAAAGGGCTACAGAATCTTCCAAAGGCTGTGGTGCAAACATCTGCCTGCTTATTCCTTATTCTTGGGGCTGATCCTGGCCACCTGGAGTCTGCTGGTCACCAAGATCCCCAGCTTGGACAGACTAATTCCTGGACTCTGCTCTCCCTTTCCTGATATTTCTTCTTTATACTTTGGCTGCTTTCAACTCGAGGTTTTTGACCTACCTCCATCTTTGTCTCTAGAATAATAGGTGCCCATTCACTTTCCCATGATAAGTCTTTTGCCTTTGTTCACAGGGAGGGCATTCCCTACATTTCCAGTCTTAGCTTTTCCCAGAAGGACTAGCAGAGTCTCAATCCTAATCACTATTTAAAGTAGTACCCAAACCAGACTAGCACAACCCACCAAGCCCCAGCCCTCCCTCCTGAGCTACTACAGGTTCAACTGGTTGACTGGTCCCCTAGCACCTTGCAAAGAACATGCACTCAGTGTATATTTCTTAATAAGTGGATGAATGTTTTATTCTATTGGGGAGACAGAAGAAGAGTAACAAGAGAGACATTCTAGTAGAAAAGTAATATTAATGAGGCTAAATGTATTCATTTGTCTTTTTACCTAATAGACAATAAAAGATTGCCCTATTGGAAGAGAAGCTCAAGGCTAGATGAAATGCCAAAGGGTCTTTTGTAAGAAGTTTCCAGGTATCCTTAAGCTTGTGGTAGTCACCCCTGGAGTATCTTTTTTAAAGTTCAAAGATATCCATTATAGACGCAGGGGGAAAAGCACAAAAAGAAAAACAAAAACATTTAGAGTTACATTAGGCAGGATTTAGGTACATACAGAAGTTCGTTAGCGAGGTGCCTAACTTTTGTGCAGGTTTGTGTTTCTGTAAATAAATCACACTCGGAATTATCTACTTGGCAGAGAGGGGAGAGACCTGAGATTTAGAAACAAACAATCAAATGGAGAACCGAGGTTTGAGTTTGGTGCATTCTCTATAAATTATATAAATTATCTTAAGCAATCACCAGCCCCTTGAAGTTTTATTTGCCTCATCTGCATATTGAAAATAATAATTGTTGCCCTGCTTGCTTCTAGACTTTTTTTTTTTTTAGGATAGAGATGAGGAAAATAGTAACTAATTTTATACATATATATATATATATATATATATATATTTTAACAGAGCTGTTTTTAGCTAAAAATCAAGTGTGGTCTCTCCCCAAACCCAGGGAGTAGCTGAGATTCTCTGTGGAGGGAGAACCTACCGGAGGAGAATGTTAGGGCCTGTGCAGAAAATAGGATTGAAAGAAACATGGTCAATCTCATGTTTAGGAAAAATTCTTGTAAAGATTTTTGTTTCTACTTGACTAGGTCAATAAAGATAAGGCACTAAAGATAGGCAATCTAAATGCCATTTTACACATATGGTGGATGGATAACTCTGTGTCCTAATATTTCTGAACCTTAGTTACCTTATATGTAAAGTAAAAAAAAGTACCAATCCATACATCCATTTCCTTTTTGCCATCTCTTGTCGACTAGGCACTTTTCAGGATTTTCCAAGGAGATCATTGAAACTTTGTTTTGCTTTTCTGCAAAGATGTGTATATGAAGTTGTGTTTGCTGTCTGGCCTTATGAGAGACTCAGTGCTTTTCTGACACTAACATTCTGGGGCTCTTTGTCCAGTCCTTCCTCCTTGGTCTTCCATGGTTCTCTGAGATGCAGGTAATTGAATGCTTGAGCTGGGAAAAAGCTTTTGTTCTATGATGATTCTAAGTCTTACTCTCTCATTGCAAACACTAAAGTGTAGTTCTAAGCGCAAGTACAGTTTTCCTCATTTTTATTTATCTTTCCCAAGATTTTATAGCAAAGTTTTTGTTTTCTGCACCACCTCTACCCTGCTACCCCTCCTTAAGCCCCTACGCAGCTGAAAGCTGGAAGCTGAAACGTTTTCAACTTGAGCAGACAGGTTGAAGATGCTGCCAAACCATGTGGAAATACATTGGTATAGACTGGAACTTTGTGTAAGAAAAATTCACATTTTTAGAATCTTTACTATATTTGGCTTACCTGGGTTAAGCAATTGCATGTTTTCATGGGGAGAGGCCCAAGGCCTAGTAGCTTAATGTGCAAATCACAAGGCTGGGGCTCTGGAGGAAATCCTAGCCTTTGAGGAGTGGCAGCTGTGTAAAAACTCAACAGAGGAAGGACAAACTGTGTTCTCTCCTTCTCACCATTGCCCTCTGTCTTCCTCTTCTTCACTCTCAGCCTATGTGAAAAAATCAGATCCAGGCTGGGCACAGTGGCTCATGCCTGTAATCCCAGCACTTTGGGAGCCCAAGGCGGGCGGATCACGAGGTCAGGAGTTCGAGACCAGCCTGGCCAATATGGTGAAATGCTGTCTCTAGTAAAAATACAAAAAAAAAAAAAAAAAAAAATTAGCCAGGTGTGGTGGTGCTCACCTGTAGTCCCAGCTACTCGAGAGGATGAGGCAGAAGAATTGCTTGAACCCAGGAGGCGGAGGTTGCAGTGAGCCAAGATCATGCCACTGCACTTCAGCCTGGGCGACAGAGTGAGAGGCCATTTCAAAAAAAATCGGATCCATTTTCCTAAAGCAACTATCTTATCCCTAAGTTAATTTCAAACCTACATATCATCTTCCAGACCATATTTTTAATATTGACAATTTTATACTGACTTGGTAAAATTGGTGACAAAGATTATTTCATATTTTTGGTTCAAATATAATATAGTCAATGTCCAGTCAGTGTCAAGACAGTTTTCACCCAAATTATGAAGGCTAAGAGAAACATTCACCTCAAGCGGGAATGTCCCTTCTGCTTGGTGGTCATTTCTAGTTATCTTAGAGACCTTCAGAGTTCACACCTGAAGGACAAGTGAGGGCAACTTGGGCTTCTTTATTTCAATTTTACTGAATTTTGATCATTAATCAGATTAGATCTCTACATTTATGGCATACACTACACATACATGCACTCATATTTACCTATATGAATAATTGCAATAAATATATTTCTTCTCAAAGTAACAAAATTTTAACTAAAAAACAAATCTAACAAGCACTTAAATTGGGACTGATCATTCATATACAAAATGCTCCTTTTGTTTTTGTTTTTTGGCTTTAGAGAAGAACCAAATCAAGGATCTGTCAAACTCCTACCATATATTAGAAGTATGTCACATGTAATACAATGATCTAATATTAGATAGCAATGGATCTTATATAAGAACTGAAAAAAAGTTAGAATTGAAACAATGTCATGTGAACATGAGGGGGTTGGAAATATTTTTAAACGAATGTTTCTCATTGTTGCATGGGTAGTGAGAGTAACTGCCAAAATGTGGGCAAAACTGGAGAATTATGCAATGGGAGGAAAGAAATCAAAACATGCAATATAATTTCGACTCTATTGTTATCAGAATTTTTTTTGAATTAATAATAAAATTCAGCAGGTGGAATGAGTCAGTTGATGACTCAGGAAGGCCCATAGGAAACTTAAAACTGTTAAGCAGAACACTTCTTCCTTCACCACGAATTTCAGTTTTCTTCAAATGGCCTTTCAACAGAAAATTGCATCTGTAGGCTCTCCATCCCCCACCCCCACAACCCACATTTGACTTTGAGCCTTTATGAAAATGATAGATTGCCACTACAGATTGTTCGCATATTTTTTTTTCAGTTTTAGGAAAACAAATGAAACAAGTGTTTTGAAGATGTCTCCAGAGGTGCCCAGTACAAGGGGGTGGGAATGGAGACGTAAGTGAGGAAATGGTCTGTTTTGTGACTTGGAATAAGCAGAGTACTCCTAGTTCTGGCCTTGACTCCCACCTGTATCCTTGAAATGGTTTTCTAACTTGTCTCCCTGGTAGAATCTCTCCAGTGTTTCCATGACACTGCTGGAGGAGTGATCTTTCTGAATCACAGTGGTGATCATGATGATTTTCTGATGCGAATTAGGCAGTATCTCCCCCTGCGGCCACCCTACGTCCTTCCACTGTGAGCTTCTTTCATCTACTTTTTGGCTCTGTGAAACCCCTGCACCCGAGTGCACATTTGTCTCTCTCTTAAGGATGTCGACTCCATGTGGATGCTGACTTTGTTTTTCACTTATCTCTGCCTTTTCTTTCTTTTTGTTTTTTTTTTTTTGAGACGGAGTCTCGCTCTGTCGCGCAGGCTGGAGTGCAGTGGTGCGATCTGGGCTCACTGCAAACTCCGTCTCCCGGGTTCACACCATTCTCCTGCCTCAGCCTCCCACTGGGACTACAGGCGCCCGCCACCACGCCCAGCTAATTTTTTGTATTTCTAGTAGAGATAAGGTTTCACCGTGTTAGCCAGGATGGTCTCGATCTCCTGACCTCGTGATACACCCGCCTCGGCCTCCCAAAGTGCTGGGCACTTATCTCTGCTTTCAAATGTTGCCTCCTCCTGGAGGCCTCCCCCATCTCATGCCTTGCGTGTTGTCCATTGTATCTTCTCCTCTGTTCTCAGAGGATTTGGTCTCTGCCTCACTTAGCACTTCATAGTGCTCTGTCATGATTCACATGTTTTCTCCACTGTGTGTTCCCATCATAGTTGACTGAACCCTTCATATTTGGTGACCTTAATAGTCCCTTACAACATCATATTCCTTACTAGGTTTCAGAGGACAGCGTGCGCTAACAGCATGAACATAGATTTTTCTGGTTGACCTTTGTATTCCTGACTGAGTCTTGTCCTGATATTTCTTGGACCTGTGGCAATGCCTTCTTTTTGAGGAAGTCCCCTCATCACCAGTCTTCCTGCCGATACTCTCATGGAGACAGTGCCATTGCTTAGGGTGCTATATCCTGGGGCTTCCAATCTTCAAGGTCCTCACATGTTTGCACTATCCTGAGTTACATGTGCCAGAAGCTTCCTGTGTTCTGTGTAGCTATAAGGACAATGCCTTTTTCTTCTCAGGATTCACCATTGGTCCCCAGGGAGGGACAGGCCGAGAAGCAGGTAGGCAAGAGACTGAGGCAGATCACCATCAACTGGTTTTTCAAATTCAGTCACGGTGTGTATCCAGTCTCAATCTCAGCTGCAATACCCTGGTACCTTTCTCTTTCCTTTCATCACTTAGGCAGTCACTAACGTTTAGTAGGTGCTGTCTGAAACTTCAGAACGCTCTGGGACTCTCTGACGAAGGCCTTTGTGTTCCTGCAAACCTCCCTCTTGTCCCTGACCAGTTTGGTCACTGTTGTTTGGTACCCAACCCTGCCCTATTTTTCTCTAGGCTGGTCAGGCTCTGACGCCTTGTAGCTGAATTCCCAGGCTGAGCCACACTTCTGGTACACTTAACTGAAAGCCTGGAGAGAACCTACAAAAAATATTACAAAGCAGGGAACAAAAATCTTAAAACTGGACACTGAAAATGGACGCCTTATAAGAGCATCTCAGAATTTCAAATTCAACTGCCTCTGAGGCCCCCAGAGAATACAATATTCTACTCTAAATAAAAACCACATACGTCATGGTGCCTTTTTTTCTTTTCTTTTCTTTTCTTTTTGAGATGGGGTCTTGCTTTGTTGCCCAGGCTGGAGTGCAGTGGCACAATCTCAGCTCATTGCAACCTCCGCCTCCTGGGCTCAAGTGATTCTCCTGCCTCAGCCTCCCGAGTAGCTGGGATTACAGATGCCAACCACCATGCCTGGCTAATTTTTTTATTTTTAGCAGAGATGGGGTTTTACTATGTTGGCCAGGCTGGTCTTGAACTCCTGACCTCAGGTGATCCACCCGCCTCGGCCTCCCAAAGTGCTGGAATTACAGGCGTGAACCACCGCACCCGGCCCATTGTGCCTTTTATTAACATTATTAAAATATAGCTCTTTATTGACACCTCAGCTCTCTGTACCAGGAAAGAATGTCTACTTTATTTTGGTAAAATTGAAGGGAATCTCTAAAATATTCCCATCTGGAACACAAGGATATTGTGTTTTCAAATCTCAATCTCCTTTTAAGAAGATATACTTTTAGTTGTCGAATTTTTCTTACTACTGGGGGATTTATACTCAAATTACTGGTGGCACACTCAATAGCCTGATTGCAATGATTTTCAGTGCGTGATGGACACCATATTTGAGAGGTGTTGATCTGAAAGGAAGTTAGAGACGTCATACCTATTACCACGATGCATAATTTGAAAGTGGAGTGGAAAGATCTAGATAGTAGAACAATAGATAACCTTAGTAATAATCTTATCCTTAGATACCGCTAGACTTCTATGAAAATTTGTCAATACCATTCCACTCTCGCTTTTCTGAAAAACTTGGTGTTTCGGACTTCAGCATTTTTCTGATTTTATAATTTATGTCACCTTTCTAGTACAGCGTGGCAGCACTCCCTAGTAGACCACTTAATTGTGATATTTCACAATTGCCAATCAGGGATCGTGGCCAATGGCAGGAAAGCAAAAGTATCCACAGCAGGTTTTGAAAAACAGTCATGAGAGACAGCTGGCATGCACCTTTGCTCTCTTCCTCTCCATCACTGCCTCTGACTTGCTGCCTTGAAGATGGATTTAGCCATCTTGGATTCTGAAGGTGAGGCATGAGGAAGGTGAGCTGGAAAGACCCTGGGTGCTAAATAAGCCCAGACAGCTCACCTCTGGGCCTCATTCACATGACAGAGAAAAAAACTTTCTATCTTGTTTAAGCCACTGTTTTCAATCTATTTTTTTTCCTCTGTCACACATAGCCAAACCAAACCCTAAATGATTCAGGTATTATGGAGAATGAAGATCCTAGATTCGGTAAGATTTTTTTTTTTTTTTTTTTTTTTTTTTGAGACAGAGTCTTGCTCTGTCGCCCAGGCTGGAGTGCAGTGGTGCGATCTCAGCTCACTGCAAGCTCCGCCTCCCGGGTTCACGCCATTCTCCTGCCTCAGCCTCCCCAGTAGCTAGGACTACGGGCACCCGCCACCATGCCTGGCTAATTGTTTTTGTATTTTTTTTAGTAGAGATGGGGTTTCACTGTGTTAGCCAGGATGGTCTCGATCTCCTGACCTTGTGATCCGCCCGCCTCGGCCTCCCAGAGTGCTGGGATTACAGGCATGAGCCACCGCGCCCGGCCTCGGTAAGATTTTTAATTACTGCACTGACCTAGTCAGTCGATGTCTCAATTTGTGTATGAGAAAGCCACATATAAATGTATTATATTTTAGTGTGCACTGTGCAGCTGATTAGATTTTCTGCATGAAAATATGAAAGTACTACAACAGAATTCAAAATAAAGTAGAATTTATGAGCTTGGGGTAGATCCTCTTAACTTTCCTCCTTTATGTTTGGAATAATTTTTTTTTAAGTTTACACAAAATTATCTCATCATGGGAGAGGAAACTTCTTCCTCATCCCAATAGTAAGTTTAACAAGTACCGTAGTTTGTTTTGCCTCAATATTCCTGATTCACATAGCACAGTGTTTAATATTGACCAAAAGATGCCTTCAGCTCACATCAGGCAAAGGAAGTGGTTACCTGATGCTGTGGTCTGTAAGTCTGTTTCTCCCCTGGATTCATATATTGAAACCTAATCTTCAATATGATGATATTAGGAGGTGAGGCCTTTTGGAGGTGGTTAGGTCATGAGGGTCGAGCTCTCATAGAAGGAATTGGTGTCCTTATAAATGAAGCTCCAGAGAGCTCCCTCACCCCTTCCACCATGTGAGAATACAGCCAGAAGGCATCATCTATGAAGCAGAAAGGGGGACCTCACCAGACACCAAATCTGCCAGCACCTTGATCTTAGACTTCTCGGCCTCCAAAACTGTGAGAAATAAATTTCTGTTGCTTATAAGCCACCCAGTCTATGGTATTTTGTGATAGCAGCTGCAATAAACGAAGATGCCTGACTACATTGACTAAAGAGAAGATAAAACCTAATCTTAGAAAAGTTTCTTCTCATTTATTTAGGGCTTGATTCTTCCTGTACCTTGGCTGTATTCCAATGGCAAATCAGGACTTTTCTGTGTATCTAAACACTGGCTGCCTATAGAGCAGGAATTGGTCCCTCAGAACAACTGTTTCCACACTGACTTGTGGGAATCTTTTTGAGTGTTTTGAGAGTTCAAGGGTTGGCAGAGCCTGGGATGGCAGGACTCTAAAGAGCTCTGAGTCAGGATATGCCTGTGCTGGTATTGGTCATTCATTTGAATGGGTTTTCTGACTATATTATTAGCAAAATATTTTCTCTCCAGCAAAGG
Organism: Homo sapiens; assembly: GCF_000001405.40. NCBI lineage: Eukaryota > Metazoa > Chordata > Mammalia > Primates > Hominidae > Homo > Homo sapiens. The sequence goes on along the minus strand of NC_000006.12, from coordinate 156,150,347 downwards.
CTCAAATTACATTGCAATCTTATTTTTTTTTTAAACGGTGTCTCACTCTGTCGCCCAGGCTGGAGTGCAATGGTGTGATCTCAGCTCATTGCAACCTCCGCCACCTCCTGGGTTCAAGTGATTCTCCTGCCTCGGCCTCCGTAGTAGCTGGGATTACAGGTGGCCACCACCACACCCAGCTAATTTTTTTTTTTTTTTTCATTTTTCTTAGTAGAGACGGGGTTTCACCATGTTGGCCAGGCTGGTCTCAAACTCCTGACCTTGTGATCTGCCCGCCTCAGCCTCCCAAAGTGCTGGGATTACAGGCATGAGCCACCGCACCCCACCTGCAGCCTTATTTTATAATTAACATATATGCTCTTTTTACAGGTTTCCTTGACTAGGGATTAAGATGGTTAATTTGTGGCTCTCATGAGATACAAGCAGTGTATAATAATTATTATTTTTTCCATGGGACTACTCCCCTAAGTTTGCTCATCTCCAGTGCAGATATTTGCCTGTTTTCACTGTGGCCTGGACAAATGAGTATGAAGGCATTTGTGCAGAGGTTTTCAAACTATGTTCTTAGATCTTGTAGGATCCCACAGAGGTGTCTCAAGCTTTGGAGAAGAGAGTAAGATGGTTCTTGATCCTCTTACCGGCTTGCTTTACTCACAGGTGGAGACTGGTGAGATGGGAGGAGGAGGCAAAATTTAAGGAAATTCAATCAGACTATCATTTTCCTATACAACCATTAGGTGCCTACACATCTGTTATTTTATTTTATTTTATTTTTGAGACGGAGTCTTGCCCTGTCACCCAGACTGGAGTGCAATGGCATGATCTCGGCTCACTGCAACCTCCGCCTCCTGGGTTTAAGCAATTCTCCTGCCTCGGTCTCCTGAGTAGCTGGGATTACAGGTGTGCACCACCAGGCCTGGCTAATTTTTTGTACCTTTAGTAGAGATGGGGGTGGGGGGTTTCACCATGTTGGCCAGGCTGGTCTCGAACTCCTGACCTCGTGATCCACCCTCCTCAGCCTCCCAAAGTGGTGGCATTACAGGCATGCGCCACCGCACCTGGCCAGTTTATTCTTTTAACCTCAAAAATGCATGAGCAAAGGTGAAGGAAATAGCACTAATGACATTGACAGGTGAGAAAACTGAGGGTAAGTGGATTTTAGAACGTCACCTCATCAGTTAATGGTGTCTCTTGGGTCTGAGTCTTAAGATTTTTCCACCAAGTTGAATGAGGACAGAGCTACTTCATGATTGTCTATGTAGACATTGCCACCACAATAACACCTTGTGAGAGAGCTAATCAAGGCAACTTGCTTTTGGCCCTGTTCAATTCTAGGCTGTGTTATCCTTTACTATAAAGCACATTGACCCACCATGAATGGAGGCCTTAAGATTGACCTCCCTTCATTCCACCCTCCGGTATTGATGGAGCTCCTGAGTTAACACAGTCCAATGGGGAAAACAGACGAACAATTAAGATGGAATGTCAAGAGTGCCACAAGGGAGATGTGAGTCGTATGCAAGAAAGCGAGTGGGGGGAACACGTAACAGCTCTGGTTCAGGAATCTGATAAGGTTTCGTAGAGAAGACAGCATTTCAGTGGGCTTGGTGGAGATGGGCAGGAGTTTGTCGGGCACAGAAAAGAGCAAATGGCATCCAGGCAGGCTCATTACATACAAAAGCATCTTCATGGGAAGGCACGTGGCACGTTTGGAATCAGTAGGAATCCATCACAGGTAGAGCCAAAGTAAGTTGAGAGAAGAGGCAGATGAGACTTAAGCAAGTCACTTGAGAGAAGTGGCACATCTTCAGTTTCATATATTTAAGATTGTAACATCTGGGAGAAGAATCAAAGTGAAAATGTCACCTATGGGTATGAAATTAGGTCCATTTATTTATTTATTTAGACAAGAGTCTCGCTCTATTGCCCAGGCTGGAGTGCAGTAGTGAGATCTCACTGCAACCTCTGCCTCCTGGCTTCAAGTCACTCTCATGCTTCAGTCTCCCGTGTAGCTGGGATTGCAGGTATGCACCACCATGCCTGGCTAATTTTTGTAATTTTTTTTTTTTATTAGAGATGGGGTTTTGCTATGTTGGCCAGGCTGGTCTCGAACTCCTGACCTCAGGTGATCCACATGCCTCGGCCTCCCAAACTGCTGGGCGTGAGCCACCATGCCTGGCCTTGAGTCCTTTTAGTGTCTCTTCCTGTCTCTTGGGTTTTTGAGTGAACCTGCAGCACCTCTTCATTCCCGGGCCCTTCCTTTTCTCCCACAACCTCCCCTCCCTCTCTTTTGCACCCTGCAGGTGCATGCATACATTGCCTCCTCTTTTCCTTCTCCCTGCTTTTCTGACGAAAGTTCTGGTCCTTCTGTTGAGAGCTGGCTCCTTGGATATAGCACAGATACCTACTTATTTGTGTTTCAGTTCCCTTGCCTGCCAAAATCTCAGATGGAGCTTTAGGACTCATGGAAGACCTTCCTCAAGGGGGACTTGAAGTGCTCTGGGAAAAATATGCGAGTGTGACCCTTTCCAGGGGGCAGCACGAGGATGGCCAAACCCGCTACTCTCCCTGGGGCTGGGTAAGGAGATCCGGCTGCAAGTTTCTGAAAAAATTTTAAAAAGGCTGTTAATTTCTGAAACTAGAAAATATACTTGACTCCTGGACCCAGAAAATACTCTTCCAAGTTGCAAAAAAACAATCATTCTTTTTAAATGGGGTAACATTTCTGGAATACATCGTTCCCAAAATAAGATCCTCCAATTTGGAAAAATCTAGCTGAAATAAATGAAAATAACAGATGGAAGAGAAATAACAGAAGTTATCCAAAGAACAGCAAGAGATATGAAGTGGGGAATCATCTGTCTAGAAAATGGTACTCAGTTGTACTTTTGAAATTAAAGGTACATTGGCTTCTGAAGAGATTGCAATTTTTCTCTTGACAGTTCCCCCTTACACATTATGTCCTTTCTGGGCCAAGGTTAGCACGTAAGAGGTATAGTTTTCTTTTCTATTCCTGCTTCTCCCATTTGTGCAGTTTCCATCTGTTCAAAGGTGTTAAGATCAACTGTTCTGGTGTCCTGGATAAAGGTTTGGGCTCTTGGCAGAGTGCTGGATAAATACAGAGTCATGCTATTAGCATAGGGATGTTTAATAACGATTGTTTATGTTCTCTTAGCCTTGTCTGAGAGCAACTGTGGGCAACCCGGGCCCCTTGGCAGTCTGCTGAGTGCACCTGACAGCAAGGCTGAGCCTGGTGCTGCTCACCTGCTGCCATGGGAGCCCCCCGCAGCCAGTCACCGTCTCGCCTTCCTGCAGAGCGCCTCCCACAGTCCTCGTTTGGAAGAACACAGTTTTAGTACTTCATTGACAATGGAAACCATTTGGGTTACATAATTCACTGTTCCATTTCTGTGCAGCTTTTTTTGTTAACCATGAGAGCTTGGTATTTTGCTGACTTTCTGTGCTTCCTTCATCCTTCCTGACCTCCCTTCTTACTGGTTCCATGGCTGTTCTTCAGGGGTCCACCCTCTGCAAGACAGTAGCTTAGGGTTTTTGTTCCTGGCTGCATCAGCACCTGTGTAGCTGCTTATCCTTTGCTCAGGTCGTCGAGAGGTGTTTTTTCAGAGAAAGAGATGGACGGTCTGGCCAGACCATTTAAGTTTTTGCATTGGGTTTCTTTCTGTCTCCAATCCCCACCCTATTTGACTAGTCTAGTGAACTGAACTCTCACCTTGCAGAGCTGGTCATGAGCCGCTGGCATTTTCCTCTTCTCTACAGTGACCCGGTTCACCCTCCTCTTCCCCAGCTCTCCATATTCCTCCAGAGCTAAAGGCACAAGTCAGGCAGAAGGTATTCCTGCCCTACGTCTTATCAAATGTCTCTGCAGAACTTAGGCAGAAGGCATTCCTGGCCCTTACATCAAGTGTCTCTGCAGAAGGAAAAGAGGAGAGAGAGAAGGCAGAGAAAAGAGGAAAAAAGAGGACAGAATGGATCACCTCACCAGCCCAGAATTTCCTTTAAGAACTTACCCTTTGATGATTCCTAGATTTAGCATGTCCTACAAAAAGTCCTGTCACACTTGTCAGTCCTGGAGGAGACGAATTTGCATGTAAGCTCCGCTGTGTCCTGGATAAAGTTCCTGGGAAGACGGGCTGAAAGTAGCCAGGATGAAGCTGACCTTGCCATTTCCTCATTTTCCATTTCATTGCAGTTTTAAAAAATGAGCGTTAAGTAACCTCAGTGAAATTTTTAAACAGGGCACTGTAGTATCTCCCTAAGAGTGTCAGTCACTGTAAGCAGTGGCAGAGTGAGAGCCAGGGAGGGCCCAAAAACCCAGACTACAGATCTTCTCATTTTTTCCCAAGCCCTCTTTTCACATTTTTATAAAGTCTCAGAGCACGAAGTGCTTAGGGGAACATTCTAGCTCCCCAGTGTCAAAGGAGGAGCCTGCGGTCTGCGTTTACCAGTTAATGGCGGAGGAGTAGGAGATGCTGGCTCTCGGCAAGACTCCTTCTCTTCCTGCTGTGCTCCTCACTGTCTTATGGAAGCAGGTGGTGGCTGTGGGATGAGAAGGGCAAGGAGGAGGTGCTGTTAATAAAACCAACTGGGGAGTGAAGTGGAGTGGAGTGAAGAAGAACGAGAGGCACAGTTAACTTCCCACTGGAAACTCCCAAGCAAGGAGTCTGTAGGTTGTAGAATGAGTTTGGCTGCAAGTGGGAATGCAAGGCCAAAGTGGTACATCTGCTTTCCATGAGAGCATCCCAGCTCATTGCTTTGCTTTTTTCCCCTTCCCTCTGCTAGGAAGGAGAGTGTTCTTTCTTCATAGTGTGCATCTTTGGAATGTAACACCATTCTTTGTCTTCTGCGGGAACATAAACCTGACAAAGACAGTGAGGCAGGGGAATAAGTCTTTTTATGAAATGAGATAAAAGAGATTTTTGAAGAAAAGAAAATCTGTATCATTCTGTTTGAGGAAAACCTTTTGCTTGAATCCATCATTTCTTGTTTTCCACATAATTTTTTGGGGTGTCTTAATTAGCTGGAACATCTGACACCATCGGACAGTTATTTCCCTCAAATTGTTAGCAGATCTACCCAGTAGAGGTCATACTCCTCTCAGGTTGTACTGTAGAATCTAGGTCATGACTCCTAGACTTTTTCAAGAGAGGTACGTGCACTGTGCCCCTTGCTCCCAGTCTCAGCCTCTTGATCCTTGTATTAGTCTGTTCTCATGCTGCTAATAAAGACATACCCAAGACTGGGTAATTTATAAAGGAAAGTGGTTTAATTGACTCACAGTTCTGCAGGGCTGGGGAGGCCTCAGGAAACTTACAATCATGGTGGAAGGGAAAGCAAACATGTCCTTCTTCACATGGTGGCAGGAAGGAGAAGTGCTGAGTAAAAGGGGAAAAGCCTCTAATAAAACCATCAGATCTTGTGAGAACTCACTCACTATCACAAGAACAGTATGAGGGTAACTGCTCCCATACATAAATTACCTCTTGCTGGGCCCCTCCTGCAACACGTGGGGATTATTGGAGCTACAATTCAAGATGAGATTTGGGTGGGGACACAGCCAAACCATATTAATCCTTCACTCTTGTATCCCTGCTTCTGCCATCACAACTGCTCCTGCAGCAGTCACCACTGGTCTCTCAATTGCAAAGTGTCTCAGTGCTTACCCTGCTGAGCTCCCTACAGCACTGCCACACCTCCTTAAAACTCTTTTCCCTTGTCTTCTGAGACCTTGTTCAGAATTGATACTGTTTCTACCTCTTTTTCAAAGCATCTCTCTGTTCTCTACCTCCTGTCCTGGAAAGTCAGATATCTCCCATGGTTTTCTCTTTTTTTCCCCTTCACCCCCCTGGAAATTCCTTACATCCTTGATCTCATCACTTGCCTTTCCATTTCCAGAGCTGTCTCCTCTCCTGTGCTGTTGAGCCCTTCCATCCTACCTGCCTGATGAGCATCTCTAACAGATTGTCTTAGAAGCAACTCAAATTCAATATTTTTGGCTATACTTGCCTACTTTTCTCCCCAACCGGTCACCCCTCTGTGTTTCCTATTTCCAAGGCACCCAGGACCATCATCAAGTTTACTTTTAATCAATCTTCTTTCCATTCCATTTCTTTTATCACCTTAGCTAAAATTGCTAACTCTTGTCCAGATCATTGTATCAATCCAGCTGACATTCTTTTATCCGTGTTCCTCCCTACTCAAGCATCATCATAATTCACATTACAGATAGGTCTTCCAGAATCATAGCTCCTATGGTGCCATTCATCCTATTCAACCACCTTCTATTGTGGCTTTTTGCTAATTACCAAGTTAATTTTTTTTTGCCTTGGCTTTTAACATTCTCAGTGATCTGGTCCTAGTCCACATTTTCAGCTTTATCTCCTACCACTCAGTAGAAAATGGAATCTTGTGATATTTCCTTTCTATGCTTTATATTTTTCTGCTAACTCATTCTATTCATTCTATTATCTTTGCATTTACCCAAAACATTGTATTCTCCAATCCCCACTCTTCTTTAGGGGTTCTAACTCTTTCATGATTAACTCATCCACCGTTTTATTGTGGAACATCCATTGTGGTTTATACTGATCACCTTTTGGCATTATAACTCTTTAACTTCCTTTAAAACAATGGTGTGCAGGTTGTTTCTCCTACCAAACTCCTAAGAAATAGGAAAACTTGTCTTAGGCATTTAAAAGATTTCCTCCAGCATGTAACAAGAAGCCTGCCTTGCATAGTGGGTGCTCTGTTTGTCAGAGAAATAGAATTCATCTTGATATATCTTATACTTGGTTAACAATCAGAAGTACCTTTATTTCCCTCTCTTTCACTCCTCCTCCTTCCCCTGCCCCATTTATATATAAAACACAGACTGCTACCATATGGTGTCTTTCTAATCACATTCTTGTATGAGAAGAAGAGATATATTATTACAGACTACTGATCCTTTAGCTGTATAAAATGACAATTCTAACTTAAGAGCAGATAGGTGATTTAAAGTTTTATAGTTTCCATGTTATTCTGTTGGGCTTTTAAATCTCCTTTACCAGTAAACTGAATGATGGACGCATGCCATAATGATCACATTAATTTAACTTTACAAAGTTTTTAATATGTGACACCCTTTAACAAACTGAAAAATAAAAATCCATGGTGGGCAGGTAAGTATTGTTCTTGAAGAGACATTACTTTATCCTTACTTCAGTAGAATCAATGTCATTGTGGCAGGAAAAAATTGTCATTTAGTTAATGAATAAAGAATAAAAATGAGAGAAGCCAAGAGACAAATTATTCTAAATAATGAGTATATGACAGATTTGTGGGTGGCCAAGGTGGAGCAAGCCAACTATTTCTTATCTAACCCATTGGTTAAAACTCAAACCTCTGGAAAGAATACATAAGACAACTATTTGAAGACTTAAAAAGTAAACAATAAGAGGTAAATACAGACAGGAAGTCAAAGCTTGAAGAATAACCATGTCTTAGTCAGTTTGGGTTGCTATAATGGAATAGCATAGGTGGGGTTGCTAAACCACAAACTTATTTCTCACAGTTCTGGAGACTGGGAAGTCCAAGATCAAGGCACCAGCAGATTGATGTCTGGTGAGGGCACACTTCCTGCTTTGCAGATGGCTACTTTCTTGTTATATCCTCATATAGGGGGAGATAGAAAGAAAGAGGGCAGGGGGAGAGAGAGAGAGAGAAAGCGGGGGGAGGGGGAGGAAGGAAGCTGTCATGTCTCCTCTTATAAGGACTTTAATCCCGTTCTAGAAGACTCCACCTCCATGACCTACTTACCTTTCAAAGACTCCACCTCTGAATACCATTGCATTGTGGGGGTTAATATTTCAACACATGAATTTTCCAGGAGCACAAACACTCAGTTCATAACAAGCTAGTACTAGTAAGTTTTCTGTTCATTCTCCTCCTCTATGTCTCAGCTTTGATTCATGGAAAACCAACAACACTCTGAGAGGTGAAACTGTGCCACAGGTGTGGAGAGCAAAACCCAAAAGAAAGCCATCTTTCCAATCAGATGACCAGCAAAAATAAGTCACTGAAAGAGAATATGAAATGAAATCCCTGTTTTTTTTTCTGTTTGTTTCTCTTTTTCCTTTCTTGGCATTGCCTGAGGCCAGCCCCAGTCATGGTGATGTATTGCCTAGATATGGTGGTGGTGGGGTATACAAATCCCAAGAGCTAATCCATATCTGTGGTCAGAGGAATGGGAAAAAGGGATCCAAGTAGCCTGAATAGTGTGCAGGAATCTTTTATTTATTCTGTTATATTCTTACCCCTGTATCCCAAGTGTGGCCCCCATTGCACAGAACAGTGCAAGAGCACTGGGCCTAAAATCCAAAAAGAAGCTCATCTTTCTGGCCAGAAGAACTGGTAAAATAGTCTCTAACAGCCAAAGAGTGGCAGGATCTTTGAGAAGACATAGCTAGAGAAGGGTACACTCTAATTATGGTACATAGACCAACACAAGTCCCGAGATCCCACCTGAGCTAAATGTGTAGAACATACTCAAAGAAAAATAGCATTTTACAAAAATAGCTTTGTTTTGTAAATTGACTGCCAAACAAACCAATCAAAAAAGAACATTGTTTGGAGGATTTTAACAGGATACAGAGTCTCACTACATTATATTCAGTATGTCTCACATTTAATTTCATACATCTATAATACAATTCAAAAATCACTCAACATACAAATAACCAGAAAATTTAAGCAATTCTCAAGGAAAAGGACAATCAGTGACCCCGAAGCCAAGAAGACCCAGATGTTGGAATAATCAAATAAAGATTTTAAAGCAGCTTTAATGACCATGTGCCATAAAGTAAAGGCAAGCACTCTTGAAATGAATGAAAAGATACAAACTCTCAGCAGAAAAAGAGGAACAATTGAAAAGTAACTAAACGGAACTGTAGAATAAAAGTATATAATATCATAAGTAAAAAAGTATTATCTGGCCTCAATGGAATGATGGCGATATCTTAAAAAAATAAACAAACATAATGATAGAGTCAAATGATCTAATCTGAAGTACAGAGAGAAAAAAATAGAAAAGAAACCAAACACAGGCTCAGGTATATGTGGGAAAATATCAAAACCTCTAACATTTAAATTATTGAAGTACCTGAAGGAAAGTGAAAGGAGTGCAAAAAGAGTGCCAGAAAAAATATTTGAAATAATCATAATAGAAAATTTCCAAATTAGTTGAGGATACAAATTTACAGATTCAAGAAGCTCAATACACATCAATGAAGTAGAGGCCCAGACACGTCGTAATCAAACTGCGGAATACCAAAGATTTAAAAATGAATCTAGAAAGTAGCCAGAGGAAAAAAAGACACATTACTTACAGGGGAAAACTGCAGATCTGTTGTCAGAAAACATGGAAGTCAGGCCGGGTGCAGTGGCTCACACCTGTAATCCCAGTACTTTGGGAGGCTGAAGTGGGCAGATCAGTTGAGGTCAGGAGTTCAAGACCAGCCTGGCCAACATGGTGAAACCCCGTCTCTACTAAAAATACAAAAATTAGCCGGGCATGGTGGTGCACACCTGTAGTCCCAGCTACTTGGGAGGCTGATGAAGGAGAATCGCTTGAGCCCAGGAGGTGGTGGTTGCACAAGATCACGCCACTGCACTCCAGCCTGGAAGACAGAGCAAGACTCTATCTCAAGGAGAAAAAAAAAAAAAAAAAGAAAAAAAAAAGAAAACATGAAACTCAGAAGACAGTGGAACACCACCTTTAAAGTAGAAACAAAATGAACTTTCAACCCAGAATGTTATATTCAGGAAAACTCTTTTATAAATGAAGGTGAAATAAAGACATTATCAGCAACTAAAGGAATTTCTTCATGGTGAAAAGTAAATAATATTAGAGGGAAAAAGGAACATCAGGAGTGAAAAAAAGAGAGCAACAGAATTGGTAAATATCTGGGTAAATAAAATAGGGTATTATTTTGAGTTAAACTATGTATGAATATTTAGAACAAAACCTACAATATTTGTCCTGTGGTTTTAAATGCCTGTAACTGTAATACATATGACAAGTATAGCACAAAGGGAAGAAGAAAAAGGGACCTATATGGCTGTACGTGGTAAAATATTAACTCTAAGTTAATTGTGAAAGAGAAACAACTAAAGAAATAGCACAAAAAAGTAGATCCCCAAATCCACTAGATAAGAGAAAAAGCTAAAAATATTCAAATAACCCAAAAGCAGACAGAAAAAAAGGTGAGTCAGGCAACGAAACCAAAGTATACTAAAGAAAAACAAAAAATAAAATATTGATTTAAGTTCAAATATGTCAATAATTTCAATAAATATAATATTGTTTAAACCAAATTAAAAAACATCAATTGTTCAATTAGAGAAAAATTCCAGATTCAGATATATAAAATTTTCAGCATACCCACAATAGGCCAGGTACATTGGCTCATGCCTGTAATCCTAGCACTTTGGGAGGCTGAAGCAGATGGATTGCTTGAGCTCAGGAGTTTAAGACCAGCCTGGGCAACAAGGTTAAACCCCATCTCTACAAAAAATACAAAAGGTAGCCAGGTGTGGTAGCACACACCTGTCCTAGCTACTTGTGGGGGCTGAGGCAGGAGGATCACTTTAACCCAGGAGGCGGAGATTGCAGTGATCCAAGATCATGCCACTGCACACCAGCCTGGGCAACAGAGTGAGACCCTGCCTCAAACAAACAAACAAAACCCCCCCCACAAAAACCCAAATCAACATACCTATAAAAAAAATACAATTTTATAGACAAGAAAAAAGATGGAAAATGATATGCCTTGAAAAAACTAATCAAAAGAAAGGAAGAGGTCCTATATTAATATCAGATGAAGAAAAATTCAAATAAAAAAATTCCTGGAATAAAGAAGGGCATTACAAACTAAAAGAGCCAATTTATGACAAAGTTTCCAAGACTACGTAATGAAGGAAAGACAGTTTCAACATCTGGCACTGAAGAAAGTGAATATCAACATGTGAGAGAAAAGAAAAGAAAACAACAACAACAAAAACAGGCAAAAGAAATTGTATACCTACCTTATACCATAAAATTAGCTGGATGTGGTGGTGCACGCCTGTCCTAGCTACTTGTGGGGGTTGAGGCAGGAGGATTTTATATACCTGAATCTGGAATTTTTCTCTGAACAGAATCAGCTCAAAATGGATCAAAGACTTAATTGTAAGACCAGAGACTATAAAACTCCTACCAAAAAATAGGGGAAAAGCTGCTTGGCATTGGTCTTGGCAATGATTTCTTGACACTAAAAGCATAGGCAACAATAGGGAAACTAGACAAGTGGGATTACAACAAACTGAAAAGTTTGTGCACAGTAAAGGAAACAACCATCAGAATGAAAAGGCAACCTACAGAATGGGAGAAAATACATGCAAACCATATATATGATAAGAAGTTAATTTCCAAAATTTAGAAGATACTCATACAAGTTATTAATAATAGCATAATACCCAAATGACCCATCTTAAAATTGGGCAAAGGCCTTGAACAGACATTTCTCCGAAGAAGACATACTAATGACCAACAGATATATGAAAAGGTGCTCAACATCATTATCAGGGAAATTCAAATTAGAACTACAATGACATATCACCTCACATTTGTTAGGATGCTATTATTTAAAAAAAGATAAGTGTTGGCAAGGATATAGAGAAATTGGAACTCTGGTACACTGTTGGCAGAAATGTAAAATGGTAAAGCTATAGAAAACAGTATGAATCTTCTTGAAAAATATTAAAAATAGAACTACCATATGATCCAGCAATCCCACTTATTGGTATACATCCAAAAGCATTTACTGTTACGAATTTCCCTCTAAGCACTACTTCAGCTGCATCCCACAAATTTTGATTTGAAAATGAAAATGTATACACATTATACATTTTCATTTTCATTTGGTTCAAGACACTTCCTAATTTTCCTTAAGACTCTTAGACGTATGAGTCACTTACAAGTGTTCTGTATGCTTGTATTAGAAAACTTATCTGAAATAAATAATCTAAACTTCTACTTTAGACAATAAAAACAAAGCAAATTAAACCATCATAAAGCATAATAAAGAAAATAATAGATTTTTAAAAAATAATGAAATTGAAAACATAAATAATAGAGAAACTGAAAGAAACGTTGTAAAAAAAAAAGTGATAAATTCCTAGCCATATGGACCAAGGGGAAAGAAAAGAGAATATCCAAATTATCACAATCAGATAGAAAAGTGAAATCATTAAAAGAATAATAAGTTAACAATTGTGATGGTTAATTTTAGTGTGTCAATTTGACTGGGCTGAAGTTTGCCCAGATAACTGGCAAAATATTATTTCTGGGTGTATCTATGAGGGTGTTTCCAAAAGACATTAGCATTTGAAGCAACTTAGTAAAGAAGATTGTCCTCACCAATGTGGCTGGACATCTTCTAATCTATTGAGGGCCTGAAGAGAACAAAAATGTGAAGAAAGGGCAAGTTTGCTCTCTGTTGATCTGGGATATCTGTCTTCTCCTGCCCTCAGACATTGGCATTCCTGGTTCTCAGGCCTTTGGACTCGGACCAGGTCTTTCACCATTGACTCTACCCTTGACTGATTTCACTAGTGAATCCTATAAACACTTAAGGAAGAAATAATACCAATTATATGCAATATCTTCCATGAAAAAGATGAGAGCAATTTTCAACTCACTTACGAGATTAACATTACAATTACTAAAACCAGAGAAAGATTTCACAAGTGAAAAGAATTACAGAACAATATATCTCGTGAATAAAAATGCATAATTTCTTAAGAAAATATGAGCAAATTGAATTCTACAATATGTAGAAAGCATTCTACATCCCAAATAATGGGGGTTTATCCTAGTAGTAAAAAGCTTCTCTAATATTATAAAATCAGTCAATGTAATTTGCCATATTAACAGATGAAAGACAAAAACTTTGGCCGGGCGCAGTGGCTCACGCCTGTAATCCCAGCACTTTGGGAGGCCAAGGTGGGCGGATCACGAGGTCAGGAGATCGAGACCATCCTGGCTAACATAGTGAAACCCTGTCTCTACTAAAAATACAAAAAAATTAGCCAGGAGTGGTGGCAGGTGCCTGTAGTCCCAGCTACTCGGGAGGCTGAGGCAGGAAAATGGCGTGAACCTGGGAGGCAGAGCTTGCAGTGAGCCGACATCGCACCACTGCACTCCAGCCTGGGCAACAGAGCCAGACTCTGTCTCAAATAAAAAAAAGAAAAAAACTTTATGATCATCTCAATAGATGCAGAAAAGTATATGACAAAAGTCGATATTAGTTTATGACAAAAGCTTTCAGCAAAGTAGGAATACAGAGAACTTCTTTAACTTAATAAAGAGCATCCACAAAAAGCTATAGCTAGTATCATTCTAATTTGTGAAAGACTGAATGCTTTTCCCCTAATTTCAGGAACAAGGCAAGGATTTCTGCTCTTACCAATTCTATTCATCATCCTACTAGCAGTCTTAGTCAACACAATAACACAGGATAAAGAAATAAAAAGCACAAATATTGGTAAGAAAATAAAACTATTTATTTGTAGACAACATGATTGTCTACATGGGAAATCTCAAAGAACCTACAAAAACTCCTAGAACTAGTAAATGATTTTAGCAAGTATACAGGATTCAAGCATGAAGATCAATAGTATTTCTATATACTTCCAATGAACAATGGAAAATCAAAATTTATAAAACATGCCATTTTCAATAGCTCCAAGAAAATATGAAATAAGTATTAATCTAACAAAATATATGCAGGACCTATATTCAGAAAACTATAAAATGCTGATGAAAGTAATCAAATAAGAAATGCTGATGAAAGTAATCAAATAAGACCTTAATAAATGGAGATGTATATTGTGTTCATAGATTGAAAAATTCAATATTGTTAAAATGTCAATTCACTCAAAACTCATATATAGATTCAACATAATCTCAATAAAAAGTCACATTTTTATATATCAAAAGGTAATTTTAGAGTTTATGTGGGTTAAAAAATTACCTACCAGGTACAATGTTCACTATTTGGCTAATAGGTATACCAGATGCCCGGTCCCTACCAATATGCAATGTACCCATGCAGCAAACAAGCACATGTGCCCTCCGAATCTAAAATAAAAAATATAATAAAGTTTACATGGAAATCACAGGAACTAGAACACACAAAATAATACTGGAAGAGAAGAGTAAATATCGGAGGAGTTACACTATCTAGTTTGAAGACATATTAAAAAGTAACACATAGATTACTGGAATAGTGAGTCTACGTGTAAATTTACACAAATGTGTTCAATTGATTTTTGACAAAGGACAAAGGGAATTCAATGAAGAAACCATAATATTTTCAATAAATGATGCTAGACTAATTAGATAACCACATGCATAAAAGTAAACTAGAATTTATATCTCATACATTATACAAAATAAGTCAAAATGTATCAGAGAACTAAATGTAAGTATAAAATGTAAATGAAAATTTAAAACTTTAGAGTAAAACATAGGAGAATATCTTTGTGATCTTAGATCCAACAAATAGTCCTTTCATATGATGCCAAAAATCTGGTTCGTAAAAAAATGATAAATTGGACTTTATCAAAATTAACAATTTTGCTTTTAAAAAGACAGTAATAAAAGACTAGACAAAGATTAGGAGAAGATATTTGTAAAATATATATCTGATAAAGCACATGTGGGAATAAATGATAATTTCTAAAATCTCAGCAATAAGAAAGCCAACAATTTAATTAAAAATGGGCAAAGTATTTGTAGACACATTTAACCAAAGAAAATATATGGATGGCATTTAAGGACCTGAAAAAATGTTCTACATCATTAGTGATATGGTTTGGCTCTGTGTCCCCACCCAAGTCTGTCCTCGAATTGTAATAATTCCCATGTGTCAAGGGTGCGGCCAGGTGGAGATAATTGAATCATGGGGCAGTTTCCTCCCATACTGTTCTCATGATAATGAGTGAGTTCTCACAAGACCTGATGGTTTTATAAGCGTCTGGCATTTTCCCTGCTGGTAACTCATTCGCTTTTCCTGCTGCCATGTAAGAAGTGCCTTTGCTCCTCCTTTGCCTTCCACCATGATTGTGAGGCCTCCCCAGCCATGTGGGACTGTGAGTCCATTAAACCTCTTTTTCTTTATAAGTTATGAAGTCTCGGGTATGTGTTTTTTAGCAATGTAAAAATAGACTAATACAATTAGTCATTAAGGTAATATAAATTAAACCACAATGAGATACCACCACACAACTATAAGAATGGCGAAAATTTTTAAAAAACAAATGAAAGAATCTGATAAAAACAAGTACTGGTGAGGATGAAGGGCAACTCAAATTTTTATTCATTGCTAGAAGAAGCGCAAAACAGTAGAGCTGCTTTGGTGAAGAGCATGGCAGTTTTTTTTTTTTTTTTTTTTGAGATGGAGTCTCGCTCTGTCGTCTAGGCAGGAGTACAGTGGCGCTATCTGAGCTCACTGCAAGCTCCGCCCACCAGGTTCATGCCATTCTCCTGCCTCAGCCTCCCGAGTAGCTGGGACTACAGGCACCCGCCACCACGCCCTGATAATTTTTTGTAGTTTTAGTAGAGACAGGTTTCACTGTATTAGCCAGGATGGTCTCGATCTCTTGACCTCGTGATCCGCATGGCAGTTTTTTAAATGAACTTAAACATGTGTTTAACATACAGTCTAGCAGTCTCGCTCCTATTTTACTCTAGAGAAATGAAAACCTACGGTCACACAAAAACCTGTACATGAATTTTTATCACAACTTTATTCATAATTTATTCCCCAAATTATAAATAACCCAAATATCCTTCATTTGGTTTCATTAGTTTCCTAGGGCTGCTGTAAAAAAAAAAATCACAAATTTGGAGGCTTAAAACAGCAGAAATTAATTTTCTCACAGTTCTGGAGGCTAGAAATCCAAAAGTAAAGTGTTGGCAGAGCCATGCTTCCTTTAAAGGTGCTAGGGAAAAATCCTTACTTGCCTCTTCCTCCCTTCCGATGGCTTCCCACAATCCCTAGTGTTCGTTGGCTTGCAGATGCCTCACTCCAATCTCTATCTCCATCCTCACATGGCTTTCTTCCCTGTGTCTCTTTCATGTCTCTGTATCTAAATCTCTTTCTCCTTTCTCTGATAAAGATATCAGCCATTGGATTTAGGGCCCCCTCTAAGCCAGCATGGTCTCATTTGAACTTGATTACATCTGCCAAGATGCTGTTTTGAAATAAGAAAACATTTACAGATAAAGGGGAGTAAGACTTGGATATGTCTTTTTTGGAGACATAATTTCACTCACTACACTGGCCAATGAATAAACACACTGTGGTGTGTCCGAGCAATGAAATATTACTCAGAAACAAAAAGGAACAAACTATAGATATATGCAACAACTTGGATGAATCTGAAATGTATTATGCCAATGAAAAAAGCCAGATTCAAATATCTATATAGTGTGTGATTCCAAAATGATAGAGAAGGAGGGAAAAAAACCAAAATGGTAGAAATAACCAATCAGTGGCTGCCAGGGGTCAGGGGAAGAGAGGGTTGGATTACAAAGGGGCAAGCGTGAGGAACCTTTGAGGTGATGTTTCCTGTATCCTATTTGGGGCGAGGGTTACACAATTCTATGCATTTGACAAAATACACAAACCGTGTGCCAAAAAAGAGTAAATTAAAAATAAAGATAAAAAGTAAATGGACAGATTTCAGAGACTGTGGGAGAGAGCAACAGAAAGCCAAATGTTCAAGGAGGGCCAAAGATGCAGCAAGAGAGGTGACATGGTACCTGCTATAAAGCATGAAACTTTAAGGAAAGAGTGAGTGCAAGGGAGAAATACATTTGTAGAAGTCTTGTTGAGTGGTGTGCAGTGTGGCTCCTGCCTTCATATTAAGTTCAGTTAAGATCTGTGCTGTTTGTCAGTGCTTTCAGAATTATGTTTTGTTTTGTTTTGGAAATTCAAACATTGTTGGCTATGGTCTTAAGAGAAGAGCAAGTTACTTTTTGGTTATAAAGTGATGAGGAGCCTAAGTGAGTTCATTTATTTGTATTTATTTTATTTATTTTTTAACTTGTATTTTAGATTAGGAGGTACATGTACAGGCTTTTTGTACAGGTAAATTTGTGTCATGGAGGTTTGTTGTACAGATTATTTCCTCTCCCAGATACTAAGCCTAGTACCCAATAGTAATTTTTTCAACTCCTCTTTCTCCTCTCCCCACCACCACCCTCAAGGAGGCCCCAGTCTGTTGTTCTCTTCTTTGTGTTCATGAGTTCTCATCATGTATCTCCCACTTATAAGTGAGAACACATGGTATTTGGTTTTCTTTTCCTGTGTTAGTTTGCTAAGGATAATGGCCTCCAGCTCCATGCATGTTCCCTCAAAAGACACAATCTCATTCTTTTTTATGGCTGTATAGTATTCCATGGTGTAGAGGTACCACATTTTCCTTATCCAGTCTACTACTGATGGGCATTTAGGGTGATTCCATGTCTTTGCTATTGTGACTAGTGCTGCAGTGAACATTCGTGTGCACGTATCTTTGTGATAGAATGAGTTATGTTCCTTTGGGTATATATTTAGTAATGGGATTGCTGGGCCAAATGGTAGTTCCTTTTGCAGCTCTTTGAGGAATCACCATATTGCTTTCCACAATGGTTGAACTAATTTACACTCCCACCAACAGTGTATAAGTGTTCCCTTTTCTCCACAACCTCGCCAGCGTCTGTTATTTTTGATTTTTTTTAATAATAGCCATTTTGACTGGTGTTCGATGGTATCTCATTGTGGTTCTGACTTGTATTACTTATCTAATAGTCAGTGACATTGAACTTTTAAAAATATGTTTGTTGTTCCGCGTGTACGTCCTCCTCTTTTGAAAAGTGTCTGTTCATGTCCTTTGCCCACTTTTTAATGCTTTTTGTAATGGCAACTATTTTCAAATGTTACCCACAAGTTAGGCTCTGGAATGTTGAATTAGGAAGAGAATTGCTAACATGCAAGAGCCCAGAACACATACCACTTAACACATATTTTCCAAAATCACTTGAACACATACTTTAGAAAATTATTAAAAAACCCCATAAAACTCAAAATTCAAAGTATAAAAAAGACAATTTTATGATATATAAGAATCTGAAGTAAACAGAGAAAATAATTATAAATTTAAGTAATAAATTTAATGCTCAAATGTGTTTTAAAAGCTGAATGTGATTTTGAAACTTTCGAAAGAAACGTCCTATAATCTAAAACTATAATTTAGTAAGAAAATGGATTTAAAATGTATTTAAATTCACAAATACACAGTTAAAATGCAGTTGTGCAGGAGTGGGGTTGGGAGAGCAGAAGCTGCAGACAGGCAAAACACAGTTTTGCTCTTATCTTTGACAATCTTTGAAATAATGGCAAGCGTTTCTAATTATTTGACTAAAATATATTCTTTCTTACTAACCAAAACTCAGTCTTGTTCAGGATGGCAAACCGCTCAGTACAAATTGTCTATTTCTCAGCTTTCTTGCAGCTAGAGATGGCCATGTGACATGATTGTAGTCAGTGAGAAGATGTAGGGAGGAAGCTGGCTGGAGGTTCCAGGGAAGTTTCACTACCCAGATCCAGATCATTGTCTCTTCCCTCCTGTTGTGCACTCTCGCCAACTTCCACCCTCCTCTTCACCTTTCTTCCTGTTTGGAATGTAGATGGAGGCCCAAGATGCAGTCCTCTGTCTTTTGGGACACTGAGGCCTCCATGAGATGCAAGTTTTACTCTTAGGATGACAAAGCAGAGAAAGAGAAAGAGCTTGGGCCACAGGGTGACCCTGGGGAACAGCTGTGACCCTGCGTTCCTCTGTCCCCACTTCCTCTTATGTGAGAACAGT